>NC_000006.12:158101093-158252608 GCF_000001405.40 Homo sapiens | reverse complement strand
AGGTCAAGAGATCGAGACCATCCTGGCCAACGTGGTGAAACCTCGTCTCTACCGAAAATACAAAAAGTAGCTGGGCATGGTGGTGCGCACGTTTAGTCCCAGCCACTTGGGAGGCTGAGACAGGAGAATCGCTTGAACCCAGGAGGCGAAGGCTGCAGTGAGCTGAGATCATACCACTGCACTCCAGCCTGGGTGACAGAGCGAGACTCCACCTAAAAAAGTAAATAAACAAAAGCTTATAAAAAAATTAAAAATACCCAACATCTGCTCAAGAAAAAAAAAAAAAGAAAAAACATTCTATGGGAAAAAGACTTTCTAAAAAATCAAGGTAGAAACAATGGAAAAAAGATCGATAGGTTTGACTACACAGAATAAACTTTTACACATCAAAATATGTCATGAACATGGAGTTACAAGGCAACCAACCATGAAAAATACTTATACACCTAAGAGGTAACACAGTAAACTCCATAAACTTAAAAAAATGAAATGCTACAGGCCTAGATGCTCTATCTGCTACAACTGCTTCACACATTTCAAAACCGTCCAAACTCACATTCAGAATCTCCTTCAACTACATGTTTTGTCCCAACCATCCAAACCCTCTGGGTTCTCTGCAGCCTGAGAGTTCTGCTAGAGAAAGTGGAGCTTCAATGCAGCTAACCTCTGTTTAATCTGACTATTCCTAACCAAAATCTTCTAGAATCTAAAACCTTTCCTCTTTGAGCTCAGTATATCAAGCTTAGCTACTTGGTGCCTACAATAGTGATCTGGTCAAACCAGAAGTGGGGGTCCTGAGAAAAGACTAAGGAGTACAAAGACTCTGCACTGTCAAAACTAGACTCAAATTTCAGCACCAGCCAATCAGCACCAGAAGAGGGAAGTGGAAAAGCTTCAATGCATGCGAGCAGTCATTTTCCACCTGAAGCCCCATTTACCTGGATTTTTAGAGAGACTCACATATCCAAAGAAAAAGCATCTTTTAAAATAAAATACAGTTACTCATAACTCAGCAGTTTACATTAGAGCCAATCTATCTCAGGAATTTTTTGATTGTTGTTTCTGTGTGTTTTTAAATGTACAAAGAGACCAGAGAATTAGAAGAGACAGTGTACTTCTTTCAAATGTCCCTATATATAAAAAATAGTTTATATTAAGTCTAAGTTAGAATCATATTAAAAATATTAGTTATATTAAGAATTAAGAGGCAGAAGCTTGTAAATCTCACATGACAATGAAGTTCCACACATGAATACAGAAGCCAAGAAACAAAATATTTTTCACACAGAAGAGTATGACCGTATTAAACCACCGAACTAAAAATTCAGTAGCTGAAGGTATGCATCCCAGCTGATTAACAATCTTTCAATAACATTAGATAAACCCATGCTATAAAATATTAATAATCTGCTTCTCAAAATAATATTATGTGGTAACAGACAGTACTTAAGGCCAGGCGGACACAAAATGAAGAGAAAGGAATTAACCAAATCTTAACTTCTCAGGGCTCTTTTGTGATCTAATTTGTGAATGCGCCCAGCCTCCCCTGTCTGCCTCCTTCTTGGGACATCTCATCTGGGGTCCACTCTACCACTCAACACCAAAGGAGCGAAACCAATTCTGCTAGTCATTAACAATCTAGTGAAAGGTTTGGTAATAAATAATGAATAAGTGATGAAAATTAAAAGGGGGAAGTCATTGGCTTAAACTGACCTCCATAGATCACTGGTATCACTCACCTGATAGTGCTTCCTTGTATACATCAAGTTTTGGCTGTCTTGTATACATCAGAGTAACAGATCAATTCCCTATTAGTAAAATCACATGCCATTTTTCTCAGTCATGTGGGGGAGAAAGAACTTCACCAACTAAACATGGGTGAAGGACAGCCAAGGAGATTCCATTTATATGACCATCAGTCAGCCAAGGAGACAAGAGGTATTTGCGAAACACAGAAAACAAAGCTAAGAAAGGGAAGAAAAAATGTGGTATCCCAAGGCTCTCAGAATTAAGAACAATACTCCTACCATTTCTGAACCATATGGTCAACCTTGAGACTTCTCTATTTTACAATAAATTTATAGAAAGCTGATTCCAAAGCACCTCATAAACATTATTGCTTCTATATCTCTCTCTAAAGAAAAGCATTTTGGCGCCAGGTATAGTGGCTCATGCCTGTAATCCCAGCACTTTGGGAGGCCAAGGCAGGCAGATCACGAGGTCAAGAGATCGAGATCATCCTGGCCAACATGGTGAAATCCAGTCTCTACTAAAACTACAAAAATTAGCTGGGTGTGGTGGCAGGCGCCTGTAGTCCCAGCTGCTCGGGAGGCTGAGACAGAATAATCGCTTGAACTCGGGAGGCGGAGGCTGCAGTAAGCCAAGATCGTGCCACTGCACTCCAGCCTGGTGACAGAGCGACACTCCGTCTCAAAACAAAAAAAAAAAAAAGAAAAGAAAAGAAATGCATTTTAACTAGGAATGGTGGCTCATGTCTCTAATCCCAGCACTTTGGGAGGCCAAGGTGGAAGGATCACTTGAGTCAGGGAAATCAAGGTGCAGCGAGCTATGATTGTGCCACTGTACTCCAGCCTGGGTGACACAGCAAGACTCCGTCTCAAAAAAAGAAGCAGTTTTAGCCTAGCAGGGACCAAATGATACTTAATATTACTCTATCAAATTTCTTGCACAAAAATGCACATAAAATACAATTCTCACTATCATTGACTACTTTTTATACTGTATCACAAAATTTTTCAAGGCATTTTAATTGGTCAAAAACTTTAAATAAACATATTCCATATAGCAATGTAATTGAGCAGCTTGTTAATGGTCCAGAAAAAGTCTGAAAGTGATAGTTAAAATTAAAGGTTAATGTAATTAAGATAAAACTGAATGAGAGAGAAAATTTGTGGAGTTCCTATCAGGACTTTGCTCTCCACTGATAACACAGACCCGGCTGTCACAGCCATTGAAGTTGTGAGGAGGGAGATGCAAAATCAAACACAAATAGAATGTCATAAATCCAAAAAGGCTGGGAACTGATGCATTAGAGTAAGCTACAATAGATAGATTCTGGGCAGCATCCCAATCCTACACTACCTAATTTATTCCCAAGTCCCTCAGAGGCAAAGCTGGGTAAAAAGACGAAACAGAATGCGTGCCACTTTCATTCTCACTTCTGTCCCAGTATTAAAAATAATTACTAATGGAATAAGATAAGCAAAATGTGAGCTTTCTGTCTTTTATTAAGAGTTATTGTGCATTACCCCCAAACATTTCAAATATTAGATTATTTATTTCATTATTCAGGCAACAGAAAATTAACTCAGAAAAGTAGTTTCTACATATGAAACATAAGACTGAGTTTCTCATTTCATGGGAAAATATAACAAGAATAAAAATGGTAAAGGCTCAAATCACTTGTAAGGCCTGGAAAAGGTGACCTCAGTGTCAACCGCATTCATCTTATGGGCTTCTCCTATGACCCAACCTCTTTTTTCTTTTTTTTTTTTTTTTGAGACAGGGTCTCACTCTGTCACCCAGCCTTGACCTCCCTGGGCTCAAGTGATCCTCCCACCTCAGCCTCCCACCTAGCTGGGACCACAGGCACTTGCCACCACACCGGGCTAATTTTTTACATTAGTTGCAGTGATGAAGTAGGTCTAGCTATGTTGCCCAGGCTGGTCTCCAACTCTTGGGCTCAAGCAATCCTTCCACCTAAACCTGTCAACGTGCTGGGATTACATGTGTGAGCCACCACGCCTGAGCAACCCAACCTCTTTAAACCTCTTTCTCTCAGATACATTAAATCCAGGCATCACTATTTATTTATTTATTTACTTACTTACTTATTTATTTATTTTGGAGACTGGGTCTCGCTCTGTTACCCAGGCTAGAGTGCGGTGGCACAATCATGGCTCACTGCAGCCTCAACCTCCCCAGGCTCAAGCGATCATCCCACCTCAGGCCTCCGAGTAGCGGGGACACAGGTGCACCACCATGCCCAGCTAGTTTTTAAATTATCTGTAAAGAACAGACGCCGGGCACGGTGGCTCATGCCTGTAATCCCAGCACTTTGGGAGGCCGAGGTGGGCAGATCAGAAGGTCAGGAGGTCGAGATCATCCTGGCTAACACAATGAAACCCCGTCTCTACTAAAATACAAAAAAATTAGCCGGGCGTGGTGGCGGGTGCCTATAGTCCCAGCTACTTGGGAGGCTGAGGCAGGAGAATGGCGTGAACCCAGGAGGCAGAGCTTGCAGTGAGCCAAGATTGCGCCACTGCACTCCAGCCTGGGCAACAGAGCGAGACTCCGTCTCAAGAAAAAAAAAAAGACGAGGCCTGGCTATGTTGTCCAGGCTGGTCTCCAACTCCTGCATTCAAATGATCCACCCAACTCAGCCTCCCAAAATGCTGGGATTACAGGCATGAGCCACCATGCACGGCCAGGCATCACATTTTAATGGCATTCTCTAATCTGTTAACATACAGTTAACAGTTAAATTCTCTGATTATTTAACAACTCTAAACAGTAACTCTGCCGAAAATGTCAGCTTTGGCTGATGGGTTTTGTGCGCACAGCAGAAGCCTAACTTCTTATGATATAGGTCTTGATATTCTAACCACTGGAGCTGAATTTGTGCCTCCGGTTTTGTGGCTAAGAGGGTCATTTGAAGCTTAAGAAACTGATTACGTGTAAAGATAATCCTGTATATTTTCTCAGCCTATGGTAACATCACTGCTGATCAACTTTTCATGAATATTAAAACTGCCCCGGCACTAACAGCTCGGTTTGTTGTCTGAGGATCTCTGACACTACCATTTTGCCATAGCTGTTCGTAACAATGATGTGCATTTCCCCATGGAGGTAAACACACTCTTAATAGCCAAAGATAGTGGAAAGGCACAGTTGCAGGGGAGAACAACATGGTCCTGTAAGAGCTTCCTACACAAAACTCTTGACTTCCCTAACTGGGACTGAAAAACATTCACACACACAAATCAGAGGTATAACTGACTCAAGAAGTTTAAACTAATCTTCCTTTTGTCCTTGACAAGAAACTAATAAAAGAAACATCCAGTAGGATGAAAAAATTCTGAACCTAGTGACAACACTCTATAACATTTAAGTAGAATTCAAAATTGCTGAGCAACAGTTTTGGAAAGCAGATACGAATGAGTCTTTAGAATGTAGTGTTCCAACTAGTAACTAGCTGGATCAATAGCTGAAACATACAAATAAAAGCTGTAAGACTTCATAGCTTTCTTTCATAAAAATCTTAAAAAATGTTTCATAAACCATGATTGACTTAAAGGATCAAATTCTTAGACTTAACCAGACATTAATAGATTAGACTCTACAAGCACTTTATCCCAGGGGATCTAATATGCCCATTACAAACTGGGATACATGTTAAAACTACAAAAGGAAGAAACAGTAGAAATAATGGTAATAACCTAATACCCCATGTAACATGTTTCCAAATCCTTTCCCATCCATTACAGTCTAAATTGAGTCTTTAATTTTTAAAAAGTGAGAAATCAGTATCTTACATTATAGTGTGTATCTTTTGCAAAGCTCTCTCAAATCCATTTTGACTCTAATTGTGTTTCTGATTAAAAATAATAACAGTGAGAAAGATGTTCAAATAAATCTATATCCTCTGCACAGCACTGCTGCACACCTACAGAATAACTTCCTACACTCTATAACCTACCACACCATTACTGTTGGAGCTTTCCATAAATACTACATTTCAATTCTATTCTTAAAATACTCTTTATCTCACGGGTGAGTATCCTTGACACCACATAAGTATAGAGACTGTTATTTCTGCTTACATTAGAAAAAATAACTGATTCTAAATTAGCCATATTTAAAAGGAAAAAGGGCATAAATTTTTAAATCCATGAATTCAAAATTTTAATTTTCACCAATTATATTCTATGAAAGCAAGAAACCAAGTAGAGCTGACTCACTGGTATAGATCCTACCATGGTAAAGAGATGGTTAAAAGGAAAAGAAAGCATTTATTTATCAGAGTTTGCAGTCATTTTATAGAGATGTGATTAATGTTTCTGAGCAAATAATGTATTTAATTTTTTTTTTTTTTTTGAGATGGAGTCTCACTTTGTCGCCCAGGCTGGAGTGCAGTGGTGCGATCTCAGCTCACTGCAAGCTCCGCCTCCTGGGTTCACGCCATTCTCCTGCCTCAGCCTCCTGAGTAGCTGGGACTACAGGCGCCTGCCACCACGCCCGGCTAATCCTTTTTTGTATTTTTAGTAGAGACTGGGTTTCACCGTGGTCTCGATCTCCTGACCTCGTAATCCACCCACCTCAGCCTCCCAAAGTGCTGGGATTACAGGCATGAGCCACCATGCCCGGCCCAGATGTATTTAATTTTAGCTAAATAGGTAGTGAGCATCTATCTCCTTGTCTTCCTGGAATGTCTTCCCCTTTCTTTAGTTAAAATAACCTCAACTCTCCTTGTGAGTCCGTCCCCATTCTATATGGTCTTTATAGAAATCTCAATTGAGAACAATACACACACACACACACACACACACACACACACACACACACCCCTAAGGGGTAGGCAAATTACTCACGGTCAATCATATGCTCAGTCCAGGAAATTTGAATCTTATGACAGGAGAATTAAACCAGTTGGTGCAGTCTTTGAGACCATGGTTACCTAAACAAACATCTATTAGGTGGTTTCTGGAGCTTAGATCCTCTCGGCTCAGCCTTCAAAGCCTAGTTGTTCAGCATCTTCTGTGCCTATATGTTTCCAAGTGCTGTGCCTATGTTTATGTAACCTATCTTTTTCACTCAATATTATGGGTACCTTCCCAGATTGGTTGCTATAAATGCATGTCATCACTTTCAATGGCTGCATGCAAGGAAGGTAATATAATCCATTTAAATAATTCCTTGTCTAAGGTTATTTCCTATTCTTTACTATGTACATATATCTGTTCTAACATTTCCTACTATTTCTTCAGAATAAATTCCTACTAAATGTGGACTTTCTGGGTAGAAGGCTATGCACACTTTGCATTGTGATATCTAACAGCAGCTATCTGGACTGAGTGCATCAATGTCTACATAGGCTATCTGAGAGGACATACCTCCCTTCATCTGCACCAGCACCGAGAATTACCATCATCCTTATCATTCCCTTTCCACACCAGGAGATGCCCAAATAATAAGATCAGCAAGAGAAGGAACAGCAGAAGTCATCATAACATGATACTTTATATTAAACTTTACCAAATCATTTCAAATCCATAAAGGACTAAATTGGGTCTAGGCCGGGTGCGGTGGCTCACACCTGTAACCCCAACACTTCGGGAGGGCAAGGCAGGAGGATCCCTTGAGCCCAGGAGTTCAAGACCAGCCTGGGCAACATAGTGAGGCTTCATCCCTAAAAAAAAAAAAAAAAAATTTAATTGACCAGGTGTGGTGATATGTGCCCGTAGTCCCAGCTACTCAGAAGGCTAAGGGAGGAGGATTGCTTGAACCTGGGAGGCCAGGCTGCAGTAAGCATGATCGCACCACTGCACTCCAGCCTGGGTGACAAAGTAAGACCCTGTCTCCAAAAAAATAAAAAAATTGTGTCTAAATTATATTGCCAACATAATCACTGAAAAATGCTGTCTTAAGTCTGCTCAGGCTGCGATAAAACCATAAACTGAGTGGCTTAAACAACAGAAATTTATTTTGTTTCTTTTATGTTTTTAGTTTTTTTATTATTATTTAAATAAAAAATAAATAAATAGAGACAAAGTCTCGCTATGTTGCCCAGGCTGGTCTCAAACTCCTGTGCTCAAGTGATCGTCTCACCTCAGCCTCCCAAAGTGCTAGGACTACAGGCATGAGCCACCATGCCCGGCCACAACAGAAATTTATTTCTCGAAGTTCTGGAGGCTAAAAGTCTAAGATCAAGGTACCAGCAAGGTAGGTTTCATTCTCAGGCTTTTTTTCCTCCCTTGTAGGCAGCTGCCATCCTGCTGTGTGCTCACATGGGGAGAAAAAAAGCAAGCCTCCTGGTGTCTCTTCTTCTAAGGACACTAAGCCCATATGAAGGCCCCACACTCATGACCTCATCTAACCTTAATTACCTCCTACAGACCCCACTTCCAAATACTATCACATTGGGACTTAGGGCTTCAACATATGAACGGGGGTAGGGGGACTCAAACACTCAGTCCACAACAAATGGTATCTACTTTAGCTCTGAATTCTATTTATTTAATGACTAGTAAAACTGAACATTTTGTTTATTGCACATTTAGGTTTTTTTTCTTTTAAAAATGGTCTGCTCTGATTTCATGTCTGAAACAGAAAGTATACAGGACGAACCTGAAACATCTCATCATATCGTAAAGCAAGGAAGCTATGAGATTACTAGAGACGTGTCAGAAGGACTCAGGTGCCAGCCTAAATAAGCCTACACTGCCCAAAGAGGGAGCAATTTGAGCATCGAAAGGACAGTAACTGCAATGGACTGAAACACACCACGTATGCTAAAATAGGCGTTCATAATGTTATGCGAAAAAATTTAAAACCCTCAACCATCACCACTGGAGGATGCTAGGGGACCAAATCATAACTTTGAAAACTGGTAAATCAAGGGAAATAATCAGACACTTTTCAAACCCTTCCTATACACTCTATACCTCAAGGTAACCAAATAATTGACAAAGGAGAATTTCTACACACACACACACACACACACACACACACACACACACACCTATTTCAGCTAATAACTAAATGACAGGATGTAACCATATTGTAATCCCTCCTGAACTCATAGACCAAGTTAACATTCAAGAATGGTTGCTAGTATCACAAAAAGAAAGAAAGAAGACTTCCTGATGAAAATAATCCTGCCCTCACAAAAAAATAAAATTGGATTCTTTTGATTTAGCCTCTACAATGAACTACCAATGTACAGGAAACACAAGAAATAAAATAACATATTTTACATTACAAGGATGCAAAGAATAAAATTCAGTTTCTTCAATAAAGAGTTGCAAAGAAAAAAAAAGATAGAGAACCTATAGGTTAAAAGAGACTTTAAACCATCCAACTGCAATGTATGGACCTTATTTGCATCTTAATTCAAACAATCATATATATATATATGATATGATATAAACACACACACACACACGTACACGCCCATACACACACATACATACACACAAATATATACTGCAGTCAAGGAGTATTGATTGGATATCTGATGATACTAAGAAAAAATTTTTAAGGTAAGATAATAGTATTGTAATTATTTTAAGGGGTCTTTTTCTTTTGGAGACATGTACTAAAATATTTACAGACAAAATTATATGACAGCTTGATTTGCTTTAAAATAATCCAAGTGGAGGGACGTGAGAGGTATTGCTCAAACAAAACTGGTAACGTTTTAAAATTGCCAAAGCTGGGCAAGATACAGTGCTTTATTACACCAGTCTCCACTGTTAGCAATGTTTTAAAATTTCCATGATAGGCCGGGTGCGGTGGCTCACGTCTGCAATCCCAGCACTTTGGGAGGCCGAGGCGGGCGGATCACGAAGTCAGGAGTTCGAGACCAGCCTAGCCAACATAGTGAAACCCTGTCTCTACTAAAAACAACAAAAAAATTAGCCGGGTGTTGTGGTGGGCACCTGTAATCCCAGCTACTTGGGAAGCTGGGGCAAGGAGAATCACTTGAACCCGGGAGGCGAAGGTTGCAGTGAGCCAAGATTGCGCCACTGCACTCCAGCCTGGGCGACAGTGAGCAGCAGGGTGGAGTTTCAGTGCCTGTGCTGTGTGGAGTGAAGTGAACCGGTACGGCCAGAACAGCAACTTCCTGTGTGCTCTCAAGCCTGTCAATAAGATACTGCAGATCCACAAAGATGATGTAACTGGCCTGCATTGTAAAGTGATATGCCTTATCCAGAAAGGAAGTTTCAGAGAAGCCTTGAATGTCATCAATACTTGCACCAAACTGTTAGCCAATAACTCTCTCTCCTTTGAAAAGGCATATTGCGAGTACAGGCTCAACAGAATTGAGAATGTCTTGAAGACAGTAGAAAGTACCAACCGGCAGACAGACAAACTGAAGGAGCTTTATGGATAAGTGTTACACCGTTTGGAACACTATGATGAATGCTTAGTGGCATAAAGAGATCTCGTCCGAAACTCCCACGATGCTTATGATGAGGAGAGGAAAACAAACCCTTCAGCAGTTGTTGCAGCTCAAAGCAATTGGGAAAAAGTGGCTCCAGAGAGCCTGGGCTTCCAAGAAGGCACACATGAGCTGTGCTAAACACTGCATGTGCACTGATAGACCACGGCCAGCTGAACCAGGCCATGAACATCCTACAAAAAGCTGAAGGTCTTTGCCACCATTCATTATCAGAAGACACTGATGAGACTGAGGAAGACCCACAGGCAGGACTGGCCATCACTTATGGTCAGATGGCCTATATTCTGCAGCTTCAGGGTCAAACAGAGGAGGCTCTGCAACTTTACAATCAAATACTACTACTAAAACCAACGGATGTAGGGTTACTAGATGTAATTGCAAATAACATCATTACCATTAACAAGGACCAAAATGTCTTTGACTCCAAGAAGAAAGTGAAATTAACCAATGCGGAAAGAGTAGAGTTTAAGCTTTCCAAGAAACAACTACAAGCTATAGAATTTAACAAAGCTGGCCTGGCGCGGTGGCTCATGCCTGTAATCCCAGCACTTTGGGAGGCGGAGGCAGGCAGATCACAAGGTCAGGAGTTCGAGACCAGCCTGGCCAATACGGTAAAACCCCGTCTCTACTAAAAATACAAAAATTAGCTGGGCGTGATGGTGCGTGCCTGTAGTCCCGGCTACTCGGGAGGCTGAGGCAGAAGAATCGCTTGAACCAGAGACGCAGAGGTTGCGGTGAGCCAAGGTCACGCCACTGCACTCCAGCCTGGGTGACAGAGCGAGACACCATCTCAAAAAAAAAACAATTTCACGCCTGACTGGTTTTGGTGGAGACGGGGTTTCGCTGTATTGGCCGGGCGGTCTCCAGCCCCTAACCGCGAGTGATCCGCCAGCCTTGGCCTCCCGAGGTGCCGGGATTGCAGACGGAGTCTCGTTCACTCAGTGCTCAATGGTGCCCAGGCTGGAGTGCAGTGGCGTGATCTCAGCTCACTACAACCTACACCTCCCAGCCGCCTGCCTTGGCCTCCCAAAGTGCCGAGATTGCAGCCTCTGCCCGGCCGCCACCCCGTCTGGGAAGTGAGGAGTGTCTGCCTGGCCGCCCATCATCTGGGATGTGAGGAGCCCCTCTGCCTGGCTGCCCAGTCTGGAAAGTGAGGAGCGTCTCCGCCCGGCCGCCATCCCATCTAGGAAGTGAGGAGCGCCTCTTCCCAGCCGCCATCACATCTAGGAAGTGAGGAGCGTCTCTGCCCGGCCGCCCATCGTCTGAGATGTGGGGAGCGCCTCTGCCCCGCCGCCCCCTCTGGGACGTGAGGAGCGCCTCTGCCCGGCCGAGACCCCGTCTGGGAGGTGAGGAGCGTCTCTACCCGGCCGCCCCATCTGAGAAGTGAGGAGACCCTCTGCCTGGCAACCACCCCGTCTGAGAAGTGAGGAGCCCCTCCGCCCGGCAGCTGCCCTGACTGAGAAGTGAGGAGCCTCTCCGCCCGGCAGCCACCCGATCTGGGAAGTGAGGAGCGTCTCCGCCCGGCAGCCACCCCGTCCGGGAGGGAGGTGGGGGGTCAGCCCCCCCGCCCAGCCAGCCATGCCATCCGGGAGGGAGGTGGGGGGTTCAGCCCCCCGCCTGGCCAGCCGTGCCGACCGGGAGGGAGGTGGGGGGGTCAGCCCCCCGCCCGGCCAGCCGCCCCGTCCGGGAGGGAGGTGGGGGGGGTCAGCCCCCCGCCTGGCCAGCTGCCCCGTCTGGGAGGGAGGTGGGGGGGTCAGCCTCCACCCGGCCAGCCGCCCCGTCTGGGAGGTGAGGGGCGCCTCTGCCCGGCCGCCCCTACTGGGAAGTGAGGAGCCCCTCTGCCCGGCCAGCCGCCCCCGTCCGGGAGGGAGGTGGGGGGGTCAGCCCCCCGCCCGGCCAGCCGCCCTGTCCGGGAGGGAGGTGGGGGGGTCAGCCTTCCGCCCAGCCAGCCGCCCCGTCTGGGAGGTGAGGGGCGCCTCTGCCCGGCCGCCCCTACTGGGAAGTGAGGAGCCCCTCTGCCCGGCCAGCCGCCCGGTCCGGGAGGGAGGTGGGGGAGTCAGCCCCCCGCCCGGCCAGCCGCCCCGTCCGGGAGGTGAGGGGCGCCTCTGCCCGGCCACCCCTACTGGGAAGTGAGGAGCCCCTCTGCCCGGCCAGCCGCCCCGTCCGGGAGGGAGGTGGGGGGGTCAGCCCCCCGCCCGGCCAGCCGCCCTGTCCGGGAGGGAGGTGGGGGGGACAGCCCTCCGCCCGGCCAGCCGCCCCGTCTGGGAGGTGAGGGGCGCCTCTGCCCGGCCGCCCCTACTGGGAAGTGAGGAGCCCCTCTGCCCGGCCAGCCGCCCCGTCCGGGAGGGAGGTGGGGGGGTCAGCCCCCCGCCCGGCCAGCCGCCCCGTCCGGGAGGGAGGTGGGGGGGTCAGCCCCCCGCCCAGCCAGCCGCCCCGTCCGGGAGGGAGGTGGGGGGGGTCAGCCCCCCTGCCCGGCCAGCCGCCCCGTCCGGGAGGTGAGGGGCGCCTCTGCCCGGCCGCCCCTACTGGGAAGTGAGGAGCCCCTCTGCCCGGCCAGCCGCCCCGTCCGGGAGGGAGGTGGGGGGGTCAGCCCCCCGCCCGGCCAGCCGCCCTGTCCGGGAGGGAGGTGGGGGGGTCAGCCCTCCGCCCGGCCAGCCGCCCCGTCTGGGAGGTGAGGGGCGCCTCTGCCCGGCCGCCCCTACTGGGAAGTGAGGAGCCCCTCTGCCCGGCCAGCCGCCCGGTCCGGGAGGGAGGTGGGGGGGTCAGCCCCCCACCCGGCCAGCCGCCCCGTCCGGGAGGGAGGTGGGGGGGGTCAGCCCCCCTGCCCGGCCAGCCGCCCCGTCCGGGAGGTGAGGGGCGCCTCTGCCCGGCTGCCCTTACTGGGAAGTGAGGAGCCCCTCTGCCCGGCCAGCCTCCCCGTCCGGGAGGGAGGTGGGGGGGTCAGCCCCCCACCCGGCCAGCCGCCCCGTCCGGGAGGGAGGTGGGGGGGTCAGCCCCCCGCCCGGCCAGCCGCCCCGTCCGGGAGGGAGGTGGGGGGTGTCAGCCCCCCTGCCCGGCCAGCCGCCCCGTCCGGGAGGTGAGGGGCGCCTCTGCCCGGCCGCCCCTACTGGGAAGTGAGGAGCCCCTCTGCCCGGCCAGCCGCCCGGTCCGGGAGGGAGGTGGGGGGGTCAGCCCCCCGCCCGGCCAGCCGTCCCGTCCGGGAGGGAGGTGGGGGGGGTCAGCCCCCCGCCCGGCCAGCCGCCTCGTCCGGGAGGTGAGGGGCGCCTCTGCCCGGCCGCCCCTACTGGGAAGTGAGGAGCCCCTCTGCCCGGCCAGCCGCCCCGTCCGGGAGGGAGGTGGGGGGGTCAGCCCCCCGCCCGGCCAGCCGCCTCGTCCGGGAGGTGAGGGGCGCCTCTGCCCGGCCACCCCTACTGGGAAGTGAGGAGCCCCTCTGCCCGGCCACCACCCCGTCTGGGAGGTGTGCCCAACAGCTCATTGAGAACGGGCCAGGATGACAATGGCGGCTTTGTGGAATAGAAAGGCGGGAAAGGTGGGGAAAAGATTGAGAAATCGGATGGTTGCCGTGTCTGTGTAGAAAGAAGTAGACATGGGAGACTTTTCATTTTGTTCTGCACTAAGAAAAATTCTTCTGCCTTGGGATCCTGTTGATCTGTGACCTTACCCCCAACCCTGTGCTCTCTGAAACATGTGCTGTGTCCACTCAGGGTTAAATGGATTAAGGGCGGTGCAAGATGTGCTTTGTTAAACAGATGCTTGAAGGCAGCATGCTCCTTAAGAGTCATCACCAATCCCTAATCTCAAGTAATCAGGGACACAAACACTGCGGAAGGCCGCAGGGTCCTCTGCCTAGGAAAACCAGAGACCTTTGTTCACTTGTTTATCTGCTGACCTTCCCTCCACTATTGTCCCATGACCCTGCCAAATCCCCCTCTGTGAGAAACACCCAAGAATTATCAATAAAAAAATAAATTTAAAAAAAAAAAAAAAAACAATTTAACAAGGCATTACTTGCTATGTACACAAACCAGGCCGAACAATGCCTCAAAATATCTGCCAGTTTACATTCCCAAAGTCCCGAGCATCTCTCACCTATGTTAACCCAAGGTGCCCAGCTCTGCGTGAAAAGCAGCACACAAAAGCAATAGAGCTGCTTCAGGAATTTTCAGATCAGCATCAAGAAAATGCAATTGAAATTAAGCTGACCATGGCACAGTTGAAAATTTCTCAAGAGAATATTTCTTAGCATGTCTAATATTGAGAAGCAGAGAGGAGTTAAAGCAGAAACCAGGCATGGTGTCTGCATTAGTGACCATGTGTAGCCATGAAGAAGATTTAATAGTACCACTGATGTCTTCACACAAGCTATCTGGTGGTATCAAAACCATCAGCTCAAATCTCCTGCTCATTTGTCCTTGATAAAAGAAGCTGCAAACTTCAAGCTCAAATATGGGCGGGAGGAGGCAATTAGTGACCTAGAACAGCTATGGAAACAAAATCCAAAAGATATTCATACCCTGGCACAGTTTATTTCTGCTTACTCACTTGCAGATCCAGAGAAAGGCACAGCTCTTAGTAAACATTTGCCATCATCAGATAGTATGTCTCTAAAAGTAGATGTTGAGGCTCTTGAAAATTCTCCTGGTGCTACATACATTTGGAAGGGTGGAAAAGTTACTAGAGATAGTCAACCAAAGGAACAAGGAAAGGGAGATTTGAAAAAGAAAAAGAAGGGAAAATTGCCTAAGAATTATGACCCAAAACTTACCCCAGATCCAGAAAGATGGCTGCCAATGCAAGAATGTTCTTTCTACCAGGGAAGAAAGAAGGGTAAAAAGAAGGATCAGATGGGAAAAGGGACCCAGGGAGCAACTGCAGGAGCTTCATCTGAACTGGATGCCAGAAAAACTGTGAGTAGCCCACCCACCTCCCCAAGACCTGGCAGTGCAGCGACACTATCTGCCTCTACAAGTAACATCATACCCCCAAGACACCAGAGACCTGCAGGGGCTCCAGCAACAAAAAAGAAACAGCAACAGAAAAAGAAGAAAGGTGGAAAAGGTGGCTGGTGATGAGAATATTCTTGTTGAAGGCTGTTTTTAAACTAGTCTCGGTAACATTAGGAATATAATAAAGGTAATACAGCAAGAAGCACAGAACTGCTCCCTCTTCATCTCCATATTTTCATAAATAATTCCTTGTGTTTCAAATGGAAAACATCTTCCTCAAAGTCTGCCTAGTGAGATATGGCCTACTGGTTGCCTCATAGCTTTGTACAGATTATGAGGACTGAAAATATGGCCGGGCACGGTGGCTCACACCTGTAATCCCAGCACTTTGGGAGGCTGAGGTGGGCAGATCACAAGGTCTGGAGTTTGAGACCAGCCTGGCCAACACAGTGAAACCCTGTCTCTACTAAACATACAAAAATTAGCTGGGTGTGGTGGCACGCACCTGTAGTCCCAGCTACTCGGGTGGCTGAGGCAGAATCGCTTGAAACTGGGAGGCGGAGGTTGCAGTGAGCCGAGATGGGGCCACTGCACTCCAGCCTGGGTGACAGAGCAAGACCCTATCTCAAAAAAAAAAAAAAAAAAAAAAAAAAAAAAAAAAAAGAAAAGAATTGGGCATTTACCCATCTTGGTATCTGTTGTATCCTTTATCTGTGTGTGCTGATTTGATCTTTTTTCAGCTTCACAAACCTTATCTAAGGTTTTCCAGGATTTAAACAGAAACTACTTCTACTATTTCAGCTAGAGTCTGAAGACACTTCTTTCTGTTCAAGTTCCACTTTAAATTATGGAGGCCTTAGGTGACTGAAAGTGGAATCTTCTGAGCATTCCAAAATATCTGCTTAGAAATATCATGTGATAAAGAGGAACTTTCTTAATACACTGATGTTCTTCACTTAATTAAATGAATGGCCACAAGAAAAAAAAGAATTCCATGATAAATAGTTGAAATGTAAAGAAAAAAAGATCTGCTCATGTCCTTAGCCCATTTTTCTAATGAACTGTTCATCTTTTTCTTATTGATTTTTAAGGGTCTATATAAATTGAGATGTTTAATATATGTTGCACATATTTTTCCAGTTTGTCATTTGTCTTTTTGCTCATGCCATTCTTCACTATACAGACACTGAAAATAACATATGCTGTAAAAACTGCTGTCAAATCTTTTACTTTATAGGTTTCCATTTGGTGTTAAGCTTAGAAAGACTTTTCCCATACTGGAATTCTATTAACATTTACCTACATTTCCCTTTAAGATTTATTGAATTTTAAAGGAGCCCTATAAATGAATATACCTTTCCATTCAGCAAAATATACCACCACTACAACATTAGCTGGGAAATAAAAACAACATCTGCATCAGCCGCAATTTCAGGAAGATGTGCTGGAATGTCATCATCCATATAGAAGGGAAGTGATAGGACCCAGCAAGGATTTAACACACGTACTGGTTTTATCCCCCATGGGTCCTCATTTTAAAGAGTTTCTATGCATTAAACAATAACGAATTTGTTTTAACTAATTTAATTAATTTAATTTGTTTTAATAAAATAAGTGTTCTATAACTTCTAATCAGAGTTCCTGATCATTGCCTCGTGGTCTTTTCACTAAGGTCAAATACAAGGTTCCTGATCATCATGAAGTACCACAGTTACTAACATTTAGTATACAAAAATCTAGAACGTTTATCAACAAAATGTGGTATATACATACAATGGAATATTATTCAGTTTTTAGAAGGACAGGAATTCGGCTGGGCGTGGTGGCTCATGCCTGTAAACCAAGCACTTCGGGAGGCCTAGCTGGGAGGACTGCTTGAGCCCAGGAGTTCAAGACCAGCCTGGGCAACATAGTGAGACCTTGTCTCTAGAAACAACAGCAAGAACAAAAGGATGCAAATGCTGACACATGCTATAACATGGATGAACCCTGAGGATATCACGCTAAGTGAAATAAGCCAGTCATGAAAGGGCAAATACTGTGTGATTGCACTTACATGAGGTACCTAGAGTAGTCAAATTCATAGAGATAGAAAATAGAGGGGTGGTTTCCAGGGGCTGCAGGGAGGGGAAAAGAAAGAGTTGGGGTTTAACAGGTCTGGAGTTTCAGTTTGGGAATCTGAACAAAGTTCTGGACAGAAGTGATAGTTGCATGACAACGTGAATATACTTAATGCTACTGAACTGTACACTGAAAATTTAAGTTTTTTTTTTTTTTCTTTGAGACAGAGTTTCGCTGTGTCACCCAGGCTGGAGTGCAGTGGTGCAACCTCTGCTCACTGCAACCTTACAGCAACCTCAGCCTCCCGGGTTCAAGCAATTCTTTTGCCTCTGCCTCTCAGGTAGCTGGGATTACAGGTGTGTGCCACAGCAACTGGTTAATTTTTGTATTTTTAGTAGAGACAGGGTTTCACCATGTTGGCCAGGCTGGTCTCGAACTCCTGGCCTAAAGGGATCCATCTGCCCCAGCCTCCCAAAGTACTGGGATTATAGGCGGGAGCCACCACACCCAGCCAGGATGATAAATTTTATGGTATGTACATTTTACCACAAAAAATTAGTATGTTTAGTATGTTACAATTTAGTAACTAAATTAACATTATCTCAGCCAAATTAAAACACATTTGACATTTTAATTACATATTCCATGAAGTCTCACTAAAGACAAATGTACAATTTCTGTAAGGCTTTTGGTAATACTGAAATGCTGCACAGAATGCTAAACAGAAACCCATGCAGTAACTAAATCACAGCATTTCATAAGAGGTTGTACTCAGTTTTTAAATGCATTTTACAAATCACATGCATAGCTGAGCCACTCTATCTTCACTCTCTCCAGGAGATTGTTAATTGATGTTGCAAATGAGTAGAACAGATGAATAAAAATTCCGACCTAGCTTAGCCATGCACATGGTAGCCACTCCACAAACCTTCCTGAATTCAGATACTGGAATCTATAGCAAAATCAAAAAGAAAACCTGGGCTTCCCACTGTCCTATAAACTATCCAGTGAGAGGGCTGAAATTTGGCCTGAAGGAAGGCTGCTGTCTCTTGACTCTTCCATTACTCGCCATCTCAGCATCAATGTTGGATGATTCCATTTAAAACAGGCTTCAGGTACCACACATTGCTTTATGGGTTAAACATCTTTTTCTATTCAGAGTTTTGGTAGGTAAAAAACTGTGAATAACCAAACTGCCACTCTTAGAGCTCCATATGCAAGGCTGAAAGATAAATATGATTTATACACACAAACTCTTTCTAAATGAAGAGGACATTATTTTAAAATAAACAATAGTAAATGCATAAAGTTCGTATTTCTCAACCACAGGAAGCAATCATGACTTCCTAATCATCTTCCATGTATGAAAGTTCCATTGTGTTGAAAACATTTTTCTCCATATTCCTCCCTCTAATTCAGCACTACGGACTTTAACTCCGGAAGCCAACACCTCCCCACATCATGTAAAAAACAAAACCAAAAATAAATAAATAAACCTGCTACTTCCACAGCCCTAATATAGAGCTCTTAAAATTCTTAAAGGAAATCCACATCGTCTAACAACTTTCACACAAATTAAGTACTATTCTTTAAACTGAAGAACTAAACATCAAATTTAGCTATTCACAATTTATTCATATCATCACTTCCATGCCAGTTACCTATCAAGGACTTCACTAGAAGACAGGACACTTGTGACTCTCCCATTCAGAATATGGCTATCACTGCACAACGCGAGATGAGTGTGCCCATGGCCTCTCTGGATTGCAGTGTGGCTATGTGCAAGGTGCCCTGTCACTTCTCATCCATCACAACCTCACACCCCAGCAATCTGGCGCTGCGGAGCCCGGGGAGAACTTTCCAGGACCACCGCACCATTCCCAGCGGGTTTGTCTGCAAGAACTTCAACTAAGAAATGGAGAACCCAGACACGGAGGAAGAGGCACAAAGGAAGGGACCCACACCCACACCTGCAACGGGTTTTTACGTCCTTCAAAACCTTAGAAATAACTTCCTCTGTGCTTTTTCATAAACCTGCCTATTGCAATGACTTAAAGGATATCCTTAAGGTGCTGAACTACTGTAAAACAAAAGGGCGTGGGGGAGACCCCAAAGAGATCCAGGAGACAGTTCCTGGCGAGGGGAGCTGATTATCCCCGACAGGAAAGTCTTAAGAGACTTTCTGATGACAAGGGCAGTTCAGCAGGTAGAAGGAATTAGGACCCTAACGGACCTCAACCTCGGAGAGGGCTGTGTCACCCTCGTTTCCTTCCACAAAGCCAGACCACCCTCACCTTCCCATCCCTGAAGCGGTGTCGCCACAGGAAGAAGTAGACACCTCCCAGCTAATTGCCCCAAGCGGGTCAAACTTCGGAATCGGCGTCCTGCTCTGCGTTGTGGAGCGCATGGCAAAGAGGAAGGGTTGGTGCTCGGAACAGAATCTCCGTGATTTGCCAGAGGAAACAGCACAGACTCCAGACAGCAGAAGCGCCGGGATTTCCATGCAGCTGCCACGACAGGTGACCCGGCCCGCTCTGCAGTCACCCGGCTCGCCCGGGGGCTTCGCGGAAGGTGGGGCAGGCGGGCTGGGGAGACTGGTCCGGCAGGGGAGGTGGCGGCGCGGCCGGGGAAGCCGCTCGGGCCCGACGCCGGGGAGGAAGAGGAGGAGCGCAGCCCAGTCTCCCTGGGGAAACCGTTTTCAGGGATTTTCTGTCTCCACAATTAAGAAAAAAAAATGGCTCCAAGCCAAACGCCTCCCGATCTCACACACACACCACACGCACCACCCCACACGCACGCCCGCCCCGCGCTCAGCTTTCGCCCCATTTTCTCACACGCGGAGACAAAAGGCTCCCACAGCCAAGCAGCGGCCACGGCCGCCGGGCCCGGGTCAGACGCCCCCTTGCGCCGCCCCCTCCCAAGACTCCCGCAGCCACCGCCCCGACCCCCGCCCGCCGCGCCCACCAAGCCCGCCGCGCAGACCCCGGGGCCCACCGCAGGGGCACACACGCCCGGCGGGGCAGGGACGACGCTCGGGCCGGCGCCCCCTCCCGCGGGACTGCGCGGCGGCGACAGTGGCCCCGCGCCCGCTCACCTCCGGGCGGCCGTGGCGGCAGCCCCAGCGGCTCCTCCGTGCCTCTCCGCCTCCAGCAGCCCCGCATCGCCGCCGCCGCCGCCTCCCCCCGCGTCTCGGCCGAGTCTCCGCCTCCCTTCACCGCCGCCGCCGCCGGCCCGGCTGCGCGCCACGTGACCGCGCCACGTGACCCGGCGCGGCGAGCGGCGCCTCCCCGGCCGGCGCTACCGCCCCGGCCCCCACCGCCGGCCGTTGGCGCCCCCCGGCCGCCCTCCCTCCCCGGCCCAGGGCTCGCGTCCCCAACGCCACCCCGCGGGCCGCCGCGCCGCCCGCCACCGGAGCCGCCGCCTGCCCGGGCCACCTGCTCGCACCCCCGGCGTCGCCACCCCGGGAGACCCCCGCCCCCGGCCCGCACCGCGCCACGGTGCCCAAGATGCCCACAGTGCCGGGCCTAGGCCTCCAGTCTCCTGGCTCGGGACGGCCTCAGCACCCGGGCACCGCGCGGCTTGCGCGCCGTCTGAACTTCGTTTGAGCCGGAAGTGGACGTCCCAGTCCCATTATGTCTTACAGGGAAAGCCGCCGGGAGCACAGAAGCGCTGTCACCACCGACCCGCGCAGCTCCCCGGGAAAACGGTCACCCGAGTGGCCGCGATGGTAACATCCCAGAGGATCTCTTCTTCAGTTGTCCATGGAGAAAGGACCGGATAGCGTCATTTTAACTCAGGGAAGAACAATTCACAGCCTTCCCCCTCCTGTTAAATTTGATGGATGTCCTGCTAACAACGAAACTTGATAATCTCTTCTTTTTCCAGCTTGTGCAAAGAAATAGCATAGCTGATTGTGTGACTCTTCACACGTGTAGTTTAAAAAAAAAAGCATTCTTTTTTCCTTGATTTGAAGCATTAGAGGCCCCATATAGTTAGGAATAGCAGCGACTCTTCCGCAAGGGCTCAGCGTTGTTTTCTGTTTTGCCTGTCTGCAAAAGTTTTCGAATCCGTTTCAGACTTAAGAATTACTGATTCTGTGAATTTTGTCAAAAAAAAAGTTGGACCGAGTTTGTTAAATTCTGAAATTCCATGAATACTCGCCTCAGCCTCCCGAGTAGCTAGGGACTACAGGTGCCCGCCACCATGCCCAGCTCATTTGTGATTTTTTTTTTTTCAGTGTAGGAGTTTCGCTCTGTTGCCCTGGCTCATCTCGAACTCCTGGCTCCAAGTGATCCTCCTGCCTCTGCCTTCCAAAGTGTTGAGATTACAGGCATGAGCCACCACACTTGACCTAATTTTACAAATTTTGACAAATGCTACCTAGACTTTTTTTATTTTTAAAAAGGTAAGCCAAGCGTGGCGTGTAGTCCCCAGCTACTCCGGAGGCTGAGGCGGGTGGATCCCTGGAGACCAGGAGCTGGGGGCCGCAGTGAGCTATAATCATGCCTGTGGACTCCAGCCTGAGCATAGCGAAACCCGGCTCTAACACAAGAAAATTAAATATTAATTTAAAAGTAACTGAACCAAGAATAGTTGCCTCATGTTTGAATGCGTATAAATATAATGCATTTAACTGTGGTCCCAGCTACTCCGGAGGCTGAGGCACGAGAATCCTTTGAACCCCGAGAGGCAGAGGTTGCAGGGAGCCGAGATTGCGCCACTGCACTCCAGCCTGGGTGACAGAGTGAGACCCTGTCTCAAAAAGAGTATATATATAATATATATGTATAACGCATTTAATAGAAGCATTAAGATCAGCATTATTTGATTATATTTTATAAGCACTCCAAAACTTAATTTTGAAAACCTTAAGAAATAAAACTACATTTACATCTTAGAGTACCTTAAAAGATAATCTTCGCTCAATGTAATTAGTATTGCACTTCAGTTTAGTGCTCAATGTTATGTTAAATACTGTGGAGAGATCAAAGGAAGAATATGATATGGCCCTTGCCTTCAAAATTTACAATTTCTGTACAGAATTACTTTAAAATGTGTGCATAACTTTTTTGTTTGTTTTTTTGAGACGGAGTCTCACTCTGTTGCCCAGGCTGGGGTGCAGTGGTGTGATCTCCGCTAACTGCAACCTCCGCCTCCCAGGTTCAAGCAATTCTCCTGCCTCAGCCTCCCGAGTAGCTGGGATTGCTGGGATTACAGGCGCTACCACCATGCCCATCTAATTTTGTATTTTTAATAGATACGAGGTTTCACCATGTTGGCCAGGCTGGTCTCAAACTCCTGACCTCAGGTTATCTGCCCACCTCGGCCTCCCAAAGTGCTGGAATTACAGGCATGAGTCACCACTCCTGGCCAAAATATATACATAACATTTTTTAAACCCTTTCTCTCTTGCGCGCGCGCGCACACACACACGGATCAGGGATCAGCATTCATTTGCTTGGCCCTGGCCTGGAGCAAATTATGGAAATTTTGACCCTTGCTGTCAGACTAAAGAGAAGAAGGATTAAAGATGAACTTTCTTGACTTAATAAATACAATCTATGTAACAGTATAAAAATGATACAACAAATACCATCAAGACTGAATGATACAGGTGTTCTTGCTTCTGCAAAATGAAAAAAAAAATACAAACCTTGAAACTACTCTTCTAATAATACCATAGTTTTCCATAAGGCCCACAGGTATAAACTCTCTCTTATCCAGCACTCTTGGGTACAAATACACCCAACTCTCAGCAAAACTGAGAAGTCCCTCAAGTTTGTTTTCTGCCTGTGTCATTTTGCACAGTGTCAGTGGTTTTGCGAATGTCTTTGGAGCAAATATCTTCACTGAAGTCCTGGTTCTACCACTTACTAACAAGTGACAAACAAGAACAATATTCCAAATGCTGTGTCTTTAGCCATACATTCAAAAAACAATATCTCCCTCACAGTGCTGTTGAAATAATCAAATAAAATATGTAAATTATATGCCTGGCACACAAGAGGTGCTCAGTCAAAAAATAATACTTGGGCCGAGCACAGTGGCTCATGCCTGTATTCCCAGTACTTTGGGAGGCCAAGGCAGGTGGATCACCTGTGATCATGAGTTCAAGACCAGCCTGACCAACGTGACAAAACCCCATCTGTACTAAAAATACAAAAATTAGCCGGGCGTGGTGGCACACACCTGTCATCCCAGCTACTTGTGAGGCTGAGGCAGGAGAATCACTTGAACCCAGGAGGCAGAGGTTGCAGTGAGCCGAGATCATGCCACTGCACTCCACCCTGGGAGACACAGCGAGACTCTCTCTCAAATAATAATAGTAATAAGCCGGGTGCGGTGGCTCACGCCTGTAATCTCAGCACTTTGGGAGGCCAAGGTGGGCGGATCACCTGAGGTCGGGAGTTTGAGTCCAGCCTGACCAACATGGAGAAACCCTGTCTCTACTAAAAATACAAAAAATTAGCCGGGCATGGTGGCGCATGCCTGTAATCCCAGCTACTTGGGAGGCTGAGGTAGAAGAATGGCTTGAACCCAGGAGGCGGAGGTTGCAGTGAGCCGAGATTGTGCCATTGCACTCCAGCCTGGGCAAAAAGGGCGAAACTCCGTCTCAAAAAAAAAAATACTACCACTACTAACAATAATACCTCCAACCTGAACATGGTGAAACCCCGTCTCTAATAAAAATACAAAAATTAGCTTGGCCTGGTGGCGGCCGCCTGTAGTCCCAGCTCCTCAGCAGGCTGAAGCAGGAGAATTGCTTGAACCTGGGGGGCAGAGTTTGCAGTGAGCCAGGATTGTGCCACTGCACTCCACCCTGGGCGACAGAGTGAGTCTCCATCTCAAAAATAATAATAATAATACCTAAGGACCAGACACGGTGGTGGCACGCACCTGTAGTCCCCTGCTACTCGGTGGCTGAGGTGGGAGGATCACTTAAGCCCAGGAGTTGGAGGCTGCAGTGAGCTGTGATCAGGCCACAGCCCTCCAACCTGGTCGACAGAGTGAAATCCTGTTTCTGAAAAATAACAATGATAATAATAGCTAAGTTTTATTAAATGCTTACCGTGGGCCAAACTCTGTGCCTTGTTCGTTCTTATTTTTGCTGTTCTTTCTGTCCCTGTTTCCCTCAGTGTGTGCCTTCTGTCCCCTACCTTACCCCTGCCCCCTTAGGAATCTATTCTCCCTCTGCATGTTCAGAACAAAAGTGATTTAAAACTTTTAAAACTCATTTATAATAATCTATTACATCTGTTATGAATTTTTTTTTGAGACAGGATCTTGCTCTGTTGCTCAGGCTGGAGTGTAGTGGTACAATCTTGGCTCACTGCAGCCTCAACCTCCCAGGCTCAAGTGACCCTCCCAGCTCAGCCTCCCGAGTAGCTAGGACCACAAGTGCACACCACCACACCAGGCTAATTTTTTAAATTTTTTGTAGAGACGAGATCTCCCTGTATTGCTCCTAGGCTCAAGCCAGTCTTCCTGCCTTGACTTCCCAAAGGGCTGGGGTTACAGGCATGAGCCTCCCAGCCCTTTGGGAGGCCTGCATTTTATGCTTCTCTAAAATCCTTTCTAATTGTGAAATGAAAAATGTTGCTGCTTATTTAGAAATCTGTGGCATTTGGGAGCCATTAGGAGGGAGATCTGGTAATGGGGACCCTTCCACTGTCCTTTGAAATCCCACACGTCCAATTAGTCCCATTTTGTTGTGTTTAAATACTTTTAAACAGTAGATTTTGGCAACACACTTGAAGAAATTAAAACCGCATAATAATTGCAAAATGATAATTGCTGTAAGAAACAGCATCCCTCATGTGGCATTCGTGATCGTGACTGTCAGCTGGTGGGCCTGTAGCTCTAGAGTCAAGTTTGGGAAAAGCTTCTTACTACCCTGACCAAGCTCCCAAAAGTTCTGAGATACGTGACCTTTCTTTGAAAGTTACTCTTCAAATAACTTTGCTTTGCATCTGCCTTGGGTCACACAGTGAGCTCAGAGCCCAACTGAATCTGATAGGCATTCTGGTAACAGTGTATCTTGACCACTTATTAAAACGTGGCTGTGCTCCTGGCGGTGGTTAATCACCACTGTCCTACCCTAAGGCTGGGCCTGGGGGCACAAGGGATCCATAGTCACAGCCAGCCAGGCACCTGGGTTGGCCTCTGTTCCCTTCCCTTCTCTCCACACTTCTTTGCACCCCTCCTTGGCCATCATGTTCCTCTAAGACATCCAGACAATGAAGCTCCAGCAGCTCTTCTTGCAGGCCTCTTCCCTGCCTCCCTGTCACCAAGCAGCCTGCTGGGCAACTCCCCTCCTTCTTGGCTGCGACATAACTCAGAGTCCAAAGTTTCTGCTGTCTCAAGCCCTTCAGCCACCAAGACACTCAGCACAGGGATAGGGAAACTGGATCCTGGACATAAGGAGATGGCGGAGGAGTCAGAGCTTTTGAAGAATAAGATGCAAGCCCCTCCCCTTTCGAGGTGTCCTGAGAGCCAAAAATGCCAGCACCAGCTGAGGCTTCATCACTGGAAACCCAGCGTCCGGCACCAGGTGAAACGCTGTAGCCCCGCTGTGCTCCGCTCAGCCATGCCACCTGCAGACTGTCCTGCAGTTCTGGAGGCCACCACAGCCACACGTGAAGAAACAGTGATGAGTTGCAGCACATCCTTTGAGGGTGGCCAGGATGGTGAGGACTCCAGAAGCTGTCTTACAATGTCATACAGTTTTATAAACACCTGAAGAAGAAAATAAGAATGTTTAACCTGGGAAGAAACACACTTACAAGCCTCTGCTGGTGAACTTTGTCCCATTGAGAGCAATTGTATGGGAGGGTTGTTCCTTTTTTTTTTGTTTTTTGTTTTTTGTTTTTGAGACGGAGTCTTGCTCTGTCGCCAGGCTGGAGTTCAGTGGCGCGATCTCGGCTCACTGCAACCTCCGCCTCCCGGGTTCTAGTGATTCTCCTGCCTCAGCTTCCCAAGTAGCTGGGACTACAGGTGCATACCACCATGCCCAGCCAATTTTTGTATTTTTAGTAGAGACGGGGTTTCACCATGTTGGCCAGATGGTCTGGATCTCTTGACCTCGTGATCCACCCGCCTCGGACCCCCAAAATGCTGGGATTACAGGTGTGAGCCATCATGCCCGGCCCGGTTGTTCCCTTTTGATTATTTATTGAGCTTCTACTTTAAACCAGGCAGTGTCCAAATGAGAACAAGTGTGTGGGAACCTATGAAGGGGCTTTGGATCAGAAAAGGAAGGGCCTCTGCTAGGGCAGTCGCCAGGGAGGTGTGTGGCCTTGCAAAGTAGCCTTAGCCCACCCACTTCTATCTTTTGACTCTGATGGCCTGGCCTGGACACACAGAATGCAACCCGGGGTCCTACTCACCCTCTGCCTTAAAGGCTCGAGGCTCTAATCAGCTAACTCGTCCCCTTCCCAGCCTGCTCAGAGCCTCCCAGAGCAAAGTAATACCTGGACCAAGATCTAGAACCAAAAGGCCTGCTTGGTTCACTCTGGAAAGGAGAAGATGGCTTACAAGAAAAGAGAGCTTTTGTCCTTGTCTGCTTCCCCCATTCGGGAGAAGGGAAGAGGTGAGCGGGCTGCGGTACTTTGTACACACTTGAAGCGCCACTCTCCTTCCTCCCGATCCTTTCATTGCTGAGGTGGTCCTTTAGGGCCCTGAATTCTGAGCAGACTCTCAGTAGATGCACATCGTTGGGTACACATTTTCTTTTTTTTTTTTTTTTTTGAGACAAGGTCTTGCTCTATTGTCCTGGCTGGAGTGCAGTGTCGTGATTACAGCTCGCTGCAGCCTCAACCTCTCCAGGCTCAGATGATCCTCCTGCTGCAGCCTCCTGAGTAGTGGGACCACAGGTGCATGCCACCACACCTGGCTAATTTTTTTATTTTTTGTAAAGATGGGGGTCTCACCATCCTGGCTAACAGTAGTGAAACCCCGTCTCTACTAAAAATACAAAAAAATTAGCTGGGCATGGTGGCAGGTGCCTGTGGTCCCAGCTACACGGGAGGCTGAGACAGGAGAATGGCGTGAACCTAGGAGGCGGAGCTTGCAGTGAGCCGAGATTGCGCCACTGCACTCCAGCCTGGGCGACAGAGCAAGACTCTGTCTCAAAAAAAAAAAAAAAAAGGGGGGGGTCTCACTATGTTGCCCAGGTTGGTCTCAAACTCCTGGGCTCAAGCAATCCACCCACCTCGGCCTCCCAGAGTATTGGAATTACAGGTGGGAGCTGCTGCACCTCGCCCACACTTTCTTTAAGCAGGATGGTGGACAGTTCAAAAGGCATTGACTTGGGGCCAGAAGCAGTGGCTCACATCTGTAATCCCAGCACTTTGGGAGACCAAGGTTGGTGGATCACCTGAGGTCAGGAGTTTGAGACCAGACTGGCCAACATAGTGAAACCTCGTCTTTACTAAAAATATAAAAATTAGCTGGGTGTGGTGACGCACGCCTGTAATCCCAGCTACTCAGGAGGCTGAGGCAGGAGAATCACTTCAACCCGGGAGGCGGAGGTTGCAGTGAGCTAAGATAGTGCTACTGCACTCCAGCCTGGGGATAGAGCAAGACTCCGTCTCAAAACAAACAAACAGCAACAACAATAAAAAGGCACTGACTTGGTCTTAGGTAAGCAGCTGTTAAGGCAGGTAGCCATGACTCTTTGGGGAACAATTTTTTTCTGGTAGTTTTCGAAAAGCTTCCCCACCTCTTGTGTAGAAGTGTTCCCTGGGGCCGGACACGGTGGCTCATGCCTGTAATCCCAACACTTTGGGAGGCTGAGGTGGGTGGATTATCTGAGGTCAGGAGTTCGAGACCAGCCTGGCCAACATGGTGAAACCCCCATCTCTACTAAAAATACAAAAAAAATTAGCTGGGTGTGGTGGCACGCACCTGTAGTCCCAGCTACTCGGGAGGCTGAGGCACGAGGATTGCTTGAACCTGGGAGGTGGAGGTTGCAGTGAGCTGAGGTCGCACCACTGTACTCCAGCCAGGGTGACAGAGTGAGACTCCATCCCAAAAAAGAAAAAAAAGGAAAATGTTCTCTGGGACAGAGGAAGAGTGATTTTATTAAAGAAACTCGCGTTCCTCCTGGAGGAAAGGGATCAATGACCCCCACACCTTCCTCTACAAGGCTCAGCGTGAAGGGTGTGACAGGCTGGCCCTGTACAAGGCCTGAGGCAGGGGAGGGCTGGAGGCCTTGAAGTTTGGTGACTGAGAGAGCAAAGTGAGATGGAATCCGTGATTTACTTGTGGGGCCACGTGGGAAGGAGCCAGAATGGAGGCCCAGGGCTGGGAGGTGTCCGTGCTGGAGCCAGTTTTGAGCCAAGCCTCAGGAAGCTGGCTGCCTTCTGCAGAGCTGCTGGGTGGGAGAGCCGTGGAGCTGGCAGCCGAGGGTTGTCACATCTGAGCCTGAAGACTACTATAGCTGAAGCATCATTCACTGGACGTGACTTCTCTCAAATAGTGATCCCCTTAAATGCTTTGGTCTTATCTGTCGTGTAGAATCTGTTCTATCTGGTTTTGTGTTTGTGTTCACCACCACTTGGAAGAACTAACTGAGACTTCTGAAGAATAGACGGTCACATGGCCTGGGTTCTCATCTGTGCCGCCACCTGGGCACACCACTACATCTCTCCAGCCTCCATTTCAGAGTCTATGAAATGGGCAGGGGGCATTGTTCCCTGACCCTTCCCAACTCAAAAGCCCTGTAGCTCTTTAAATTCACTCATATAAATATATATAGGGCTCTTTTCTGACCCATGATTTTGCTGTAGTTTGGAATATTTATATCAACCTCCCATAAGAAGTATCTTGAAAACATTTTTTTAGGGCCAGGCGCGGTGGCTCCTGCCTGTAATCCCAGCACTTTGGGAGTCCAAGGCGGGTGGATCACCTGAGATCAGGAGTTCAAGACCAGCCTGGCTGATCTGGTGAAACCCTGTCTCTACTAAAAATACAAAAATTAGCTGGGTGTGGTGGTGGCTGCCTGTAATCCCAGCTACTCTGGAGGCTGAGGCAGGAGAATCACTTGAACCCAGGAGGTGGAGGTGGCAGTGAGCCGAGATCGCACCATTGGCCTGGAGCAAGACTCTTGCACCGTTGGAGCAAGACTGTGTCTCAAAAAAAGAAAAAAATAAACAAACTTTTTTTTAGAAACAGAGTCTCGTTCTGTCACCTAGGCTGGAGTGCAGTGGCATGCTCTTAGCTCACTGTAGCCTCCAATTCCAGGGCTGAAGGAATCCTCCCGCTTCCGCCTCTTGAGTAGCTAGGACTACAAGCACACACCTCCATGGCCAACTAATTTTTTAATTTTTTGTACAGATGAGGTCTCAGTCTGTAGCCAAGGCTGGTCTTGAACTCTCGGCCTCAAGCAATCCTCCCACCTCGCCCTTGCAAAGTGCTGGGATTATGGGGATGAGCTGCCACACTTGGCTCCCAATTATATTTTGTTTTTCCTCAGCAAGTTCATCCAATGTAAATTTCTCAAGCCAGGAGGGCTATAAAGAGAAAAACAAACAAAATAACAGCAACAACAAAAAAACAAACTGGGGCATTTTAAAGTTAAATTTCTTTCTTTCTTTCTTTTTAATAGATAGGGGTCTCAATATGTTGCCCAGGCTGTTCTCAAACTTCTGGGCTCAAGTGATGTTCCTGCCTCCATCTCCTAAAGTGTTGGGATTACAGGTGTGAGCCACGTGTTAGGCCCTAAAGTTAAATTTCTATCTCAATGCCATGCTTTCCTTTTTTTCCCTTTCGCCCTCCCCCACCCTTTTCTTCCCTTGACCGTGAATCCAAGATATACTTGATAACCAGTAAAAAGTCACTAACAGGACCATTGTTCAAGCATTTATTTTGGAGGAGTCCACCATAAATTTTCTGAGAATATAAGGATAGCAAATACTGTTGGTTGTACCCGCAGCCATTCTCCCGACTTGCTTGCTAATGAACCCTAGTTTATTAAGATATCCGCGTGTATCCATATCACAGTCCACTCCAGGAAGCCTGGCCACATCCCCACATCCTGATTGGGCTGTGCCAGTGGTTCCCACCATGTGGTCCCTGGCCCAGCAGCAGAAGCAGTCATGGGGATTGTTAAAAATGGACATTTTCAGGCTCCATGCCAAACTTCCTGAATGAGAGCCCTGCTGTTGGGGGCCTGAACAGTCCGTGGTTTAACACACTCCACAGGTGATTCTGATGCACACCAAGTTTGAGAGCCATTGGTATAAGCAAATCCTGCCAATGCTATTCTCTTTCCTTAGAAACAGGCAAATGATCCAGTTCTGGTCAGTTACGCTCGGGGGGGGTACCGTACTGGGAAAGCCTTTCAGAAACCGTTTCTTAGCCTTTATTTTTTTAATTTTATGTATTTTTTTTTTCAGATGGAGTCTAGCTCTGTCACCCAGGCTGGAGGGCAGTGGTGCAATCTCAGCTCACTGTAACCTCTGCCTCCCAAGTTCAAGCGATTCTCCTGCCTCAGCCTCCTGAGTAGCTGGGATTACAGGCACATGCAACCACGCCCGGCTAATTTTGTATTTTTAGTAGAGACTAGAAATGGGGTTTCACCATGTTGGCCAGGCTGGTCTCGAACTCCTGACCTCAAGTAATCCACCCACCTCGGCCTCCCAGAGTGCTGGGATTACAGGCATGAGCCCCTGAGCCCAGCCCGTTTCTTAGCTTTTGAAAGAGGCATAAGGACTCTCCCTTTCAGGGGGTCTTTGGGTCAAATCGTTTTCATAATAATAGTAAGATGTCATTTCCACTCTCACCTCTTGCGAGTGTACGCTGAACTCTTCCAGAGGCTATGTGATGATGTGCAATGTACAACAGATTGCATGAGAAGCAGATAGGAGAAACCGCCTGTCCTCACTGGAGCCCACATCAAAGACATGTAAAAATGTAAAACAGTGCCACCTTCTCACTAAATTTTTTATATAGTTTTTTAATAATTTTTAATAGTTATATAAATTTATTTGTATAAGTTTATATAGTTATATAAATTTATTTGTATAAGTTTATATAGTTATATAAATTTTTTATAGTTATTTTTGTCATAAAAATGTATGGTGTATGTTAACGTAATAGATTTATTATTTTTTAAATAATAAATCAATATTTTAAAATTTTCAGTTTATTATTTATAAAATGGTAAATATTGATTAACATTACATATATGTATTTTATATATATATATATTTTTTAATTTTTTTATTTTTTTATTTTTTTTTAAAGCTCTTTGGCGTCTTGGTTTTTAAGCCTGTGATAAGGAAGTAGTCCTGAGTCGGAGAACCGCTCCTCCAGGAAGGCTGCGGTGCCCGCGGCTGCTGCTGCCACCTTGTGGCCGTGAGAGGACACAGCCAACACAGTGAGGCCGGAGGACCAGAGACAATGGCCAGGTCACTGTCCCTCTGAAACAGCCAACCTGTGTATGTGCCACATGCCTTCACCATCTTTAAACCTCTTGTTCTCTGAGATGAGAAACTCCCTTGTTCCTTAAACAATTTTAGGTTGGGCTTTCTCGTACATACAAAATCTTCCCAGCTGTTTCAAGTTTGCCCTGAGGACCTCAGTAATTTTTTTTTTTTTTTGGCAATGTCTCCTTCTGTCACTCAGGCTGGAGTGCAATGGCACGATCTCGGCTCACTGCAACCTCCACCTCCCGGGTTCAAGCGATTCTCCTGCCTCAGCCTTCCGAGTAGCTGGGATTACAGGCGCGCACCACCATGCCCGGCTAATTTTTGTATTTTTAATAGAGACGAGGTTTCACCATGTTGACCAGGCTGGTCTCGAAGTCCTGGCCTCATGTGATTTGCCCACCTCGGCTTCCCAAAGTGCTGGGATTACAGGCCTGAGCCATTGCATCCGGTCCTCAATGACTTTTCTATGCACTGTTTGTTACCAGGTCTTTGTGGATGATGACACTATTTTCCAAATGAAGACACTGAAGCCTTAAGACAAAACTTTAAAAAAAAAGATCATAGATTGAAATGTGATAAAGGTGTCATTCATGAAATTAACAGAAATCATCAGCACTGTAAAAAAGCAGATGTCAAAAAGACAAAACCTAGTGAAAATACACTGGCACTCACATGCTCTTAGGAAAGTAAGCCTTCTAATTAGGACTGTGTGCCATTATCACTTCTATTTTGCAAAATTGTCCATTTTTATGTAAATGCTAGCCATTTTCAGTTTTACTCAGTAAAAAACTTAGATTTTGTAACTGCAAACTTCATACTCTGCAACTGATGTTTATTAATAGGACCAATGGATACAAATGTCATGTCATAACTTTATACTGTAATTAAGCATTGCTCCAAAGAGAATCACTTAGCAGACACTGAATAAATAAATTTTGTTATATTAAAAAAAAGCCACGCACTGTAGCTCAGCCTTGTAATCCCAGCAATTTGGGAGGCCTAGGTGGGAAGATAGCCTGAACCAAGGAGTTTATATATATATGTATTATATAACATATATAATACATATGTTATATATGTTATAACTGGGCAACACAGGGAAACGCCCATCTCTAAAAAAATTTTTAAAAATTAGTCAGGCATGGTGGCACAGGCTTGTAGTCCCAGCTACTCAGGAGGCTGAGGTGGGAGGATTGCTTGAACTTGGGAGGTTGAGGCTACAGTAAGCCATGATCATGCCATGGCACACTCCAGCCTGGGTGACAGAGCAAGACCTTGTATCAGAAAAAAAGAAAAATAAGGTAAACAAAACAAAAAAAATTAGATGGAGGAAGATAATCTCTGAAAGACTTAAACATTTAAGTATTATATAAGTATTAGACCACAAAAGTAAGCAATCCCAGCAGTGATTTATCTATGTCGAAATAATCTTACTCACAGCTGCAAAATCATGCAAGTGTTTTGGGTATTGCAGCAGAGACAGCTAATTGTACACCACGAGTCCTCTCATGTGATAGAACTGTAACCAGGAAGTCTCTGCCCAGCAAGAGACTGTATTTCCTAGTACCTCCCTACCTCCAAGTGGAGCCATGTGACTGATACTTGCAATCGGAATGATGTATCTCACTCCTGGCCAAGGCAGTTAAGAAATGGGTGTGTTTCTCCACATGTTCTCTTCCCCTGCCAGCCAGCTAGGTGTAAAGAACTTGAGGCCCTAGAGAATGAAGCCACCAGATGGAAAGGGCTGGGATTCCTGAATCACTTGTGATGGAGGGCTGACTACCAAGAAACATCTACATGGGACTGCTAAAGGAGTATAAAATAATCCCAGTGAAGTGGGAGCAGAAAAAAAAAAGTTAAAAAATAAAGACAAAAAACAGAAGAATAAAAACAATTTTAAAATTCCATTTTGTGAAGTCTCTGAAAACTACGCTAATATTAACATAGATACTAAGCTATTTTGAAGCACTGAAGCTCTACGTAGGCATCAGGAACATTTTGGGCCTTAGGAGAAAAAAGAGCAAGTTTCATGTTTACTGTTTTTTCCCTATTCCCATGCCGAGCCCAGCAGCAGGTAGTGAGTATGTGATGAATAATTGAATGGATGGTAAATAAACAAATTAACAGATGAATGGATGAGTGAATGGATGGATAAATTAGGAATTCACATAAAAATTGTCTTATTTCATTTTCTGTTGCTCTAAATGGAATATCACAGATGGGGTAATTTATTAAAAAGATGTTTATTTGGCTCATGGGTTCTGGAGGCTGGGAAGTCCAAGAGCATGGCACCAGCATCTGGTGAGGCTCATCCCATGGCCAAAGCCAGAGATGCAAGGCATCACATGGCAAGCAAGCACATGAAACAGAGTGGGGAATTGGGGTCGAACTTATCCTTGTATTAGGAGCCCACTCCCTCTAAAACTAAGCCACTCCCATAATAATAGCCTTAGTCCATTCAGAGGGCTGAGCCCTCATGGCCTAATTACCTCTTAAAGGCTCCACCTGTCGGCCAGGCACAGTGGCTCACGCCTGTAATCCCAGCACTTTGGGAGGCCGAGGCAGGTGGATCATAAGGTCAGGAGATCGAGACCATCCTGGCTAACACGGTGAAACCCCAACTCTACTAAAAATACAAAAAAATTAGCCGGACATGGTAGCAGGCACCTGTAGTCCCAGCTACTTGGGAGGCTGAGGCAAGAGAATGGCATGAACCTGGGAGGCAGAGCTTGCAGTGAGCTGAGATAGCACCACTGCACTCCAGCCTGGGAGACAGAGCAAGATTCTGTCTCAAAAAAAAAAAAAAAAAAAAAGCTCCACCTGTCAATGTGGTCACAATGGCAATGAAATTTCCTTTTTTTTTTTAAACAGTGTCTTGCTGTGTCACCCAGGCTGGAGTGCAGTGGTGCAATCTCGGCTCACTGCAACCTCCACCTCCCAGATTCAAACGATTCTCCTGTCTCAGCCTCCTGAGTAGCTGGGATTACAGGCGCACGCCATCATGCCTGGCTAATTTTTGTATTTTTAGTAGAGATGGGGTTTCACCAATGTTGGTCAGGCTGGTCTTGAACTCCTGACCTCATGATTCGCCCACCTCGGCTTCCCAAAGTGCTGGGATTACGACGTGAGCCACTACGCCCAGCCAGCAATGAAATTTCAACATGAGTTTAGAAGGGGACATTCAAATCATAGCAAAAGCTACAATAGTCTCAAATAAAATAATACTAAACATTTGTGGGAAAGGTTCTACAGATTAACTAGTATTTATTTATGTATATTTTAGGTAAAGAGAGAACTAGAGAAAGCTATGCTAAAAGGTAGTGAGTTTTCCTGGAGATACTAAAGACTAGACCAAGCAACAACTTGGCAGGGGTAGAACATGGGACAGAGAAGGTTCAAGCTTGGAAAGGTGGTTGGACTAGTTTTGCCTTGATATTACCTGACCTTTAAATAAAGTGATGAGGGATACTAGTTAAGGATTCTATCTTTAGCAATTTTAATAATGAGTGCTATTTTTAGGTTTTTAATTATTATTTTAAGAAGTACAAATATGAGATGAAAAATTCATATTTCTAAATGATTTCAGATCACATACCAAACGAATCATCATAAACTGAGTACATTTAATTATAGGCAAGAGTCCCTACACGAAATCATCAACCACTGAAGTTCAGGCCTTGCAGCCCTAAACACATACAGTGACAATAATGCCAGTACTAAAAAGACTTGCCTTTGATATCAGTTTTAAGAAAAACAGATTTTGGCTGGGTGCATTGGCTTACGCCTGTAATCCCAGCACTTTGGGAGGCCAAGGCGGGCGGATCACGAGGTCAGGAGATCGAGACCATCCTGGCTAACACGATGAAACCCCGTCTCTACTAAAAAAAATTCAAAAAATTATCCGGGCGTGGTGGCGGGCACCTGTAGTCCCAGCTACTCGGGAGGCTGAAGCAGGAGAATGGCGTGAACTCGGGAGGCGGAGCTGGCAGTGAGCTGAGATCGAGCCACTGCACTCCAGCCTGGGCGACAGAGTGAGACTCCATCTCAAAAGAAAAAAAGAAAAAAAAAAATAGCCGGGTATGGTGACACGCGCCTGTAATCCCAGTACTCGGGAGGCTGAGAGGCACGAGAATTGCTTGTACCCGGGAGGCGGAGGTTGCAGTGAGCCGAGATCGCACCATTGCACTCCAGCCTGGGCAACACGAGTGAAACTCTGTCTCAAAAACAAAACAAAACAAACAAACAAAAAAGAACAAAACAAAAATTAGCCGGGCATGGTGGCACGTGCCTGTGATCCCAGCTACTCGGGAGGATGAGGCAGGAGAGTCACTTGAACCCAGGAGGCGGAGGGTGCGGTGGGATCGTGCCAGTGCACCCCAGCCTGGGCAACAGAGCGAGACTCCTTCTGAAATAATAATAATAATAATGATAATAATAATAATAGTTGTCTTAGAAATGATTCTATTTTAGAAAAAATTATCTATCTATCTATCTATCTATCTATCTATCTATCTATCTATCTATCTAATATATATTTAACCTAAATAGTACATACTTTCTCCCAACCTTTCTGTATCTCCAGAGCAATAGAAGAGATGTAGTGGAATCGACTAGTTGCCTAGCAACCTGAAATTAGTGAGACATCTCCCCTTTCATTGATTTGATTTTAAATCATGCTTTTCTTTCTTTCTTTTTTTTTTTTTGAGACAGAGTCTCGCTCTGTTGCCCAGGCTGGAGTGCAGTGGCGCGATCTCGGCTCACTGCAAGCTCCGCCTCCCGGGTTCACGCCATTCTCCTGCCTCAGCCTCCTGAGTAGCTGGGACTACAGGCGCCCGCCACCACGCCCGGCTAATTTTTTGTATTTTTAGTAGAGATGGGGTTTCACCGTGTTAGTCAGGATAGTCTCAATCTCCTGACCTCATGATCTGTCCGCCTCAGCCTCCCAAAGTGCTGGGATTACAGGCGGGAGCCACAGCGCCTGGCCTAAATCATGCTTTTCAAGGGCGACTATGAAATAAATGACAAACATGTAAAAGCTCGGGATGCCAGCATGGTACAATGAGATTCAGGAACAAGCTACATATGTGGTCCACATGTTAGGATATTGTGGTTTATTTGGAAAATAATTTTAGTCCAGAATCCTCTTTTTCCTGTAATGATTAAAATTATTTAAAATTATTTTTGCTAATGGGGATCTCCAGAGTGTCTGTGTAGCTTTTTATATATACCATGTAATAAAATGCTGCTACAAACTCTATATAACCATATATATATACACTATAGCTATATATATAGTTGTACAGGTTCTTTATAGACTTTTTTATATGGAAACATAAGGGTAAATTTGAAGTCTGAGGCCAAGAAAGCCTCGTAAACTTTTTTACATGGGTGGCATAAAAAGAAGAGAGGCTGGGTGCAGTGGCTCAAGCCTGTAATTTCAGCACTTTGGGAGGCCAAGGTGGGCAGATCACGAGGTCAAGAGATTGAGACCATCCTGGCCAACATGCTGAAACCCTGTCTCTACTAAAAATACAAAAATTAGCTGGGCGTGGTGGTGCACACCTGTAGTCCCAGCTACTCAGGAGGCTGAGGCAGGAGAATCACTTGAACCCGGGAGGTGGAGGTTGCAGTGAGCCGAGATGGCGCCACTGCACTCCAGCCTGGGTGACAGAGTGAGACTCCAGCCTGGGTGACAGATTGAGACTCCATCTAAAAAAAAATAAAAATAAAAATAAAAATAAATAGAAGAGAAACATATAAAGAGACTGTAACCTCCAAATATAGAAGTTTATAAGTTAGGAATTCATACTTTTTTTTTTTTTTTTTGAGATGGAGTTTCACTCTTGTTGCCCAGGCTGGAGTGCAATGGCGTGATCTTGGCTCCCGGGTTCAACCTCCACCTCCCGGTTCAAGCGATTTTCCTGCCTCAGCCTCCCAAGTAACTGGGATTACAGGCATGCGCCACCACACCCGGCTTATTTTGTATTTTTAGTTAGAGACAGGGTTTCTCCATGTGGGTCAGGCTGGTCTCGAACTCTTGACTTCAGGTGATCTGCCCTCCTCGGCCTCCCGAAGTGCTGGGATTAGAGGCATGAGCCACCACGCCCGGCCCAGCAATTTATACTTTTTTTTTTTTTTTTACCAATACAACATGAATGCATTATTTCTCTAGTGGAAATTAAGTCTGAAATCTGAAACAAATTCATTTATTCCAATGTACTGCTTCTAAGGGAAAAAGATAGATAGATAGATAGATGATAGATAGATAGATAGATAGATAGATAGATAGATAGATAGATAGATAGTTTGTAGCAGCATTTTATTTCCTTATTGCCCTACCATGACACAGAGAGCTAAGTAAGGACAAATTCTAGAGACATGGAAGGTCTGGCTCCCCCAGGGACCTTATCGATGTTTTTGTTTTGTTTTGTTTTGTTTTGTTTTGTTTTTTTGAGACAGAGTCTCACTATGTTGCCCAGGCTGGAGCAGTGGCTATTCATTGTGCCCTACAGCCTTGAACTGCTGGGCTGAAGCTATCCTCCCACTCTAGCCGCCCAAGTAGCTGAGACTGCAGGCGGGCTGGGCTCTGTGTCTGTGCTTTTAAACTCTTGCTGAGAGCTCCTCCTACTGGAATAACGCATTCAGTACCATGTCATATCAGACTGCATCACGATTCAAAATTTTAATACATGTAACACAGTGTTGCAGACTCACTACACCACAAATTCCTTCTTTGTGGCAGGGAAAAGATTTCACATTAACTGCTGATTTTTAAAAAATGCTTATCACCTCTTCCATTTACCTTATAATTGATCTGTACATTGAGATTTGGCTTAACATTTACATAGGGCTTATGACCTGCCTAGTACTATTCTAAGTGTTTAAATATAACTATTCACTTGATCCTTACAACAACCATGTAAAGGAGGTACTGCTAATCTTCGTTTCACAGGTGAGAAAGTGAGATACAGAAACGAAGTATTTTAAAAACTTGCCCAATGTCACACAGCTGGTAAATGACAGACTCAGAATTTGAGCCAAGGCAGTCTGACTCCAGACTCCAGTGCTCCTAATCACAGGTTATGCTGTCACAACTTGGAGTAACCAAAAAATGTCACCATATGTATTGAACACATTCTGAAGTGTTAAGAGTCAACGATGTCAAGATGATCTTTTAAAGTAGCTTTTGTTGTTGTTATTGAGATATAATTAACATATAATAAAATGAACAAAACTTAAGTGTTTAGTTGAATGAGTTTCACAAATGTATCCATGTGTGCAAACACCACCCACAATAAGAAATAGTTTATTTCCACCAATTTTGGAAGTTGCTCTATTACAATCAAACCTCACCCCTCTCCCTGCACCCCCACCTCTGAACACTACAGTTCTAATTTCCATCACCATAAATTATTCTTGTCTGTTTCTCGACTTCATATGAATTATACAATATGTATTCTTTTGTATCTGGCTTTGCTTTCTCACTATAATTTTTTTTTTTTTTTTTGAGGCAGAGTCTTGCTCTGTCGCCCAGGCTGGAGTGCAGTGGTGCAATCTCGGCTCACTGCAAGCTCCACCTCCCGGGTTCACACCATTCTCCTGCCTCAGCCTCCCGAGTAGCTGGGACTACAGGCGCCCGCCACCGCCCGGCTAATTTTTTGTATTTTTAGTAGAGACAAGGTTTCACCATGTTAGCTAGGATGGTCTCGATTTCTTGACCTCGTGATCTGCCCACCTCGGCCTCCTAAAGTGCTGGGATTACAGGCGTGAGCCACTGTGCCTGGCCTCACTATAATGTTTTTGATATGCATCCATGTGTTAATTCAACTTATTGAATTTGCTTCTGCAATTTGCATATTTGCTTCTGCAATTCCTCTGTTGATGGACTTTTTTTTTTTTTCTTGAGATGGAGACTCACTCTGTCGCCCAGGCTGGAGTGCAGTGGCGCAATTTCAGCTCGCTGCAACCTCCACCTCACGGGTACAAGCAATTCTCCTGTCTCAGCCTCCTGAGTAGCTGGGACTACAGGTGCCCGCCACCACGTGGTCTCGAACTCCTGACATCAGGTGATCCACCTGCCTTGGCCTCCCAAAGTGCTGGGATTGCAGGTGTGAGCCACTGCGCCCAGCCGATGGATGTTTAAGATGCTGCTAGTTTTTCGCTATTATGAATAATGCTGCCATGAACTTTATTGTACAGGTTCTTTGTAGACTTTTTAATTTTTAATTTTTTTTTTTTTGAGACAGGGTCTCTGTTGCAAAAACTGGGGTACAGTAGCATGGTCTCAGCTCACTGCAGCCTCAGCCTCCCGGGCTCAAGCAATCCTCCCGTCTCAGCCCCACAAGTAGCTGGGATTATAGGTGCACACCAACATACCCAGCTAATTTTTTTTTTTTTTTTTGTAGACAGGGTCTTACCATTTTGCCCAGGCTGGTCTTGAACTCCTGAGCTCAAGGGATCCACCCACCTCGGCCTCCCAAAGTGCTAGGGTTACAGGTGTGAGCCACCATGCCCAGCCAACATGTGTTTTCATTTCTCCTGAGGTGATACCTAGGAGAGGAATTGTTGGGCCATGGAATAGATGATCATTTAACTTTATAAAAACTGTCAGGCCAGGTGCAGAGGCTCACGCTTGTAATCCCAGCACTTTGGGAGGCAGAGGCGGGTGGATTATGAGGTCAGGAGTTCGAGACCAGCCTGGCCAACACAGGGAAACTCCGTCTCTACTAAAAATACAAAAATTAGCTAGGCGTGGTGGCAGGCGCCTGTAATCCCAGCTATGCGGGAGGCTGAGGCAGGAGAATCGCTTGAACCCAGGAGGTGAAGGTTGCAGTGAGCTGAGATCGCACCACTGCACTCCAGCCTAAGCAACAGAGCTAGACTCCGTCTCAAAAAAAAAAAAAAAAAAAAAAAAGAACAGTCAAATAGCTCTCCAAAGTGGATGCACCACTTCACACAACCAGCAATGTGTGAGTCCCAGCTGCGCCACATCCTCCTCAACACTGGGTACTGTCAGTCTTTTTGCTTTCAGCCATTCCAGCCAGTGTAAAATGGAATTGCATTGTGATTTTAACTTGGATTTCTCTAATGATGTTGAGCAACATTTTACATACTGTTTGGCCATGTGAATATTTTCTTTTGTTGAATGTTGTTAAATCTTGTTAAATGATGAAGTCTGTTGGTCATTTTATAATTTTTGTTTTGGTTTTTGCTCATTTTAGAATTTGAATTGACTTTTTGCTGATTCATGGAGTACTTCATACTCTGAATATGAGTCATTTATCAGATATACATATTGAAAATATTTTTCCTAATCTGTGGCTTCAGTTTTTTAAAATGGTATCTACTGATTAGAAGAAATGTTAGCCTTTACATTCAGTTTATTAATTTTTAATTTTATAGTTATGCCTATCTCAATGCTGTAAAGATATTCTACAATATTCTCTTCCATTAAGTCACGGGTCCATCACAACTTAATATATAAAGAGAGGCAAACATCTGTTTAAGATTTTCCTTTCCATATGGTCTTGGCCTGGCTCTTTTGTCAAAACTCAACTGAACAGATATGTGTGGGTCTATTTCCTAGGTATGTGATATTTTTAATGCTATGGAAATTATATTGTTAAAACTTTATTTTCCAGGGTCGGGCATGGTGGCTCATGCCTGTAATCCCAACACTTCCAGAGGCCAAGGTGGGTGGATCACCTGAGGTCAGGAGTTTGTGAACAGCCTGGCCAACATGATGAAACCCTGTCTCTACTAAAAATACAAAAATTAGCGGGATGTGTTAGCAGGCGCCTGTAATCCCAGCTACCGGGGAGGCTGAGGCACACTGCTTGAACCCGGGAGGCGGATTTTGCAGTGAGCCGAGATTGTGCCACTGCACCCCAGCCTGGGTGACAGAGCGAGACTCTGTCTCAAAACAAAATGAAAGGCTGGGCTGGGCGCAGTGGCTCACGCCTGTAATCCCAGCACTTTAGGAGGCCCAGGCGGGTGGATCAAGAGGTCAGGAGTTCGAGACCATCCTGGCTAACACGGTGAAACCCTGCCTCTACTAAAAATACAAAAAATTAGCCAGGCATGGTGGCGGGTGCCTGTAGTCCCAGCTACTCTGGGAGGATGAGGCAGGAGAATGGCGTGAACCCAGGAAGCAGAGCTTGCAGTGAGCTGAGATTGCCCCACTGCACTCTAGCCTGGGGGACAGAGCAAAACTCTGTCTCAAAAAAAAAAAAAAAAAAAAAAACCAAAAAAACCCAAGAAAGGCTGGGCACAGTAGCTCATGCCTGTAATCCCAGCACTCTGAGAGGCCGAGGAGGGTGGATCACCTCCTGAGTTCAGGAGTTCGAGATCAGCCTCACCAACATGGAGAAACTAAAAATACAAAATTAGCCTGGCGTGGTGGCGCATGCCTGTAATTCCAGCTACTTGAGAGGCTGAGGCAGGAGGATTGCTTGAACCCCGGGAGGTGGAGGTTGGGGTGAGCCGAGATTGCGCCATTGCACTCCAGCCTGAGCAACAAGAGCAAAACTCCATATCAAAACAAAACAAAACCACTTCATTTTCCAATCAATGTTTTTATTGTTAGTATGTAGAAAAATGATTTTTATTTATTATTGAGAGGTGACAGAGTGCAGGCAGTCCTCACAGCCCTTGCTCGCTCTCGGCGCCTCCTCTGCCTGGGCTCCCACTTTGGCGGCACTTGAGGAGCCCTTCAGCCCACCGCTGCACTGTGGGAGCCCCCTTCTAGGCTGGCCAAGGCCAGAGCCGGCTCCCTCAGCTTGCAGGGAGGTGTGGAGCAAGAGGCGCGAGCGGGAACCCGGCCTGTGCGCGGCGCTTGCGGGCCAGCTGGAGTTCTGAGTGGGCGTGGGCTTGGCGGGCCCCGCACTCGGAGCAGCCGGCCGGCCCTGCTGGCCCCGGGCAATGAGGGGCTTAGCACCCGGGCCAGCGGCTGCGGAGGGTGTACTGGGTCCCCCAGCAGTGCCGGCCCACCAGCGCTGCGCTCGATTTCTCGCCGGGCCTTAGCTGCCTTCCCGCGAGGCAGGGCTCGGGACCTGCAGCCCGCCATGCCTGAGCCTCCCACCCCCTCCACGGGCTCCTGTGCAGCCCGAGCCTCCCACCCGCTCCATGGGCTCCTGTGCAGCCCGAGCCTCCCCGATGAGCGCCGCCTCCTGCTCCAGGGCACCCAGTCCCATCGACCACCCAAAGGCTGAGGAGTGCGGGCGCACGGCGCGGGACTGGCGGGCAGCTCCACCTGCAGCCCCGGTGCGGGGATCCACTGGGTGAAACCAGCTGGGCTCCTGAGTCTGGTGGAGACGTGGAGAACCTTTACGTCTAGCTCAGGGATTGTAAATACACCAATGGGCACTCTGTGTCTAGCTCAAGGTTTGTAAATACACCAGTCAGCACCCTGTGTCTAGCTCAGGGTTTGTGAATGCACCAATGGACACTCTGTATCTAGTTACTCTGGTGGGGCCTTGGAGAACCTTTGTGTCCACACTCTGTATCTAGCTAATCTGGTGGAGACGTGGAGAACCTTTGTGTCCACACTCTGTATCTAGCTAATCTGGTGGGGACGTGGAGAACCTTTGTGTCTAGCTCTGGGATTGTAAACGCACCAATCAGCGCCCTGTCAAAACAGACCACTCAGCTCTGCCAATCAGCAGGATGTGAGTGGGGCCAGATAAGAGAATAAAAGCAGGCTGCCCGAGCCAGCAGTGGCAACCCACTCGGGTCCCCTTCCACACTGGAAGCTTTGTTCTTTCGCTCTTTGCAATAAATCTTGCTACTGCTCACTCTTTGGGTCCACGCTGCTTTTATGAGCTGTAACACTCACCGCGAAGGTCTGCAGCTTCACTCCTGAAGCCAGCGAGACCACGAGCCCACTGGGAGGAACAAACAACTCCAGACGCGCTGCTTTAAGAGCTGTAACACTCATCGCGAAGGTCTGCAGCTTCACTCCTGAGCCAGCGAGACCACGAACCCACCAGAAGGAAGAAACTCCGGACACATCCGAACATCAGAAGGAACAAACTCCAGACGCACCAACTTAAGAGCTGTAACACTCATCGCGAGGGTCTGCGGCTTCATTCTTGAAGTCAGTGAGACCAAGAACCCACCAATTCCGGACACATTATCACTATAGCATCCTATGACTTAGCTAAATTCTTTTTTTTTTTTTTTAAACAGAGTCTTGCTCTATCATGCGGGTTGGAGTGCCGAGGCCCAATCTCGGCTCACTGCAAACTGCACCTCCAGGTTCAAGTGATTCTCGTGCCTCAGCCTCCCAAGTAGCTGGGATTACAGGATTGCGCCACCGCACCCAGCTAATTTTTGTTTTGTAAAGATGGGGTTTCACCATGTTGGCCAGGCTGGTCTTGAACTCCTGACCTCAGGTGATCTGCCCACCTTGGCCTCCCAAAGTGCTGGGATTTTTCTAATGACTAATGATGTTGAGCAACAGTTCAGATACTTATTGGCCATGTGGATATTTATCTCTTGACACCAAAGCTCTCTTTTTCCTTCGAAGAGCTCACAAAGAAGAGGTCATATGAGAACATAGTGAGAAGGCTGCAAGCCAGGAAGAGAGCCTTCACCAGGGAACCAAACCAGCTGACACCCTGATCTTGAATTTCCCAGCCTCTAGAACTGTGGAAAATAAATGTTTTTTGAGGAGTCTCCCTCTGTTTCCCAGGCTGGAGTGAAGTGGTGCGATCTCTCTCGGCTTACTGTAACCTCCACCTCCCAGGTTCAAGTGATTCTCCTGCTTCAGCTTCCTGAGTAGCTGGGATTACAGGCACACACCACCATGCCCAGCTAATTTTTGTATTTTTTAGTAGAGATGGGGTTACACCATGCTGGCCAGGCTGGTATCAAAATCCTGACCTCATGATCTGCCCACCTCAGCCTCCCAAAGTGCTAGGATTACATGCGTGAGCCACCGTACCTGGCAGAGACAACTTCTTAATGAGTTCTGCTTCTGGTCCACTTCCACTCCATTCATTCTTCATACTCCTGCCAATGGCTTTTTGCTTTTATAAAAAGATACCAGAAACAAATCTATATCAGAATCTATAATCAGGGGTAAATGAAGGCAAATCATGAAATTATTTTGCTTAAAATGCTTCCGTGGCTTCCCATTGCCTACAGGATGAAATCCAGACATTTTGTCATAAAAGTACAAACTTCTACAGGATCTCCTCTCCTGCCCTTCTCCCAAACACACTCTATTTGTCTGCAAGCCTAACTGAACAGCTTTTTTGCCATTCTTGGAACATGACGTGCTATTCACCTCCATTGTTTGGTTTTGCCCGTGTTGTTGTCTCTGCTTGAAAGCCCTCTCTTTTCCTGTTGCCTGGTGAATCACTCATTCTTTCAATTTCAGTATGAATGTCATCTCCTCTGTGAAGTTTCAGGCAGCATTAGATGTTCCCATCTGTCTCATGTAGCATCTGATAAGTACTTACGTGATGGTATTTTCCATGTTGTTGTCTCTTTCCTGCACTGGAATCTGAGCTCTGCAGCAGCAAGAATTTTGTTTTCATCTCACCAGCCCCTAAGACAGTACCTGTTTGTTGAAGGATGAAAGAAGACATTCTGAGCAATGTGCTGTGAAACCAGTATGCCTAGACATCACTGGTGGCATTTTCAGCTGGTACCGTCATTTTGGAGAGCAATTTGAGAAATATATACCAAGGACCACAAAAATATTGAAATTCTGTAAACCAGTGACTCTACATCTAGGAATGTTTCTTAGGAAAATAATTCAAAATTTTTGGTACAAGTTATTCATCACTGTATTAGTTAGGTATTCAAAATATTGGAAACCACCTCAATTCCAGCAATTGGGAAATGGCTAAGCAAATTATGACATGTTACAAAGATACGTCAGTCATTAAAATTTGATTTTAAAGAATTATCGGGCAACATGGAAAACATTTTATTTTACACCATAGGACACACATTTGCATGCTTACTCGATTGCAAATGCTCCTCTAGGATTGCCTCAGGACCTCGCTGAGAAGAGGTCGGCTTTGGGAATTGTCAAGGGCAGACAGAGCAAAGAACTTGACTAACTTGAATCCAAACCAAAACCCTTCCAGGCTGGGCGTGGTGGTTCATGCCTGTAATCCCAGCACTTTGGGAGGCTGAGGCAGGAGGATCACTGGAGGTCAGGAGTTTGAGACCAGCCTGGCCAACATGGTGAAACCTCATCTCTACTAAAATAAAAAAAAATTAGCTGGGCATGGTGGCGGGTGCCTGTAATCCCAGCTACTTGGGAGGCTGAGGCACAAGAATCACTTGAACCTGGGAGGTGGAGGTTGCAGTGAGCTGAGATGGCGGCATTGCACTCCAGACTGGGCGACAGAGCAAGACTCCGTCTCACCATCTCAAAAAAAGAAAAGAAAAGAAAAGAAAAGAAAAGAAAAGAAAAGAAAAGAAAAGAAGAAACCCTTCCAGAGCAGAAAGTCAGAAGTCAGAGAAACTAGGCACAACTCAGGTTACTCAGATTCAAAATAATCTCAGCTGGCTAACTTCTTGTGCATTTGGAATCCCTCCTGCAGGGCTTGTCCATCTGGCGATGTGTGGATCTCAAGATCAGCTGTTAGAACTAATATGATATTTTAAAAACTTGTTTGAAGATTTTTTTAATATTCAAAAAGCCACAATAAGATTTTTCAAAAGAGGATTGGTGGTGCATTAAAGGCCAAATGAGTACAAACAGAAAGGAGGGTTTGGGTACTTGCTGTGAACTCTGTTGATCTCGGGAGGCCCTATAGCTGAAATGACTTAAGGCGTAGGGTCAAGGCAGACAGCAATCAAGTAAGATGATATATGCATATAGGAAAAGGACCCAAATTCCATCCGCTGGGTTCAAGGCGGGAAGGAAATGGTTCTGGACTATACCATTTGGTCAACGTAGAGATCATAGTTAGCTGGGCTCTGGACTGAGCCAAGTGGGAGCTTTCCCCAGGCCAACTGCCTAAAGAGGCCCTGAGCTACGGAGGAGCAAGCAAATTGGCAACGAGGGGGTGGGGAGAGAAGGAGTGGGCATCACAAGTCAGGAGGGGGCCTAAGGTGCTGACCAACAGATCACCAAACTCAAGATCAGAGACAATGGGAAGACAGCTGCACGGGGAAGGGATGGGAACCAGGAGGGAGAGCTCATATCACTGTGCAGGGGGACTGAAGGCCGGTTCTGACATGAGTTTCTAGAATGTGCTCATCTTCCCTACACGCAGGGCCTGGAATGTGTCACTGGGCCAGGAGATGTCCACAGAGCAGCAGCGCTCACCTGAGGAGATTTGGAGGAAATACACCAAAATGCTAATTTGCATTAGATTAGGGTAGTGAGGTTGTGGCTGACGTTTTTCTTATTTTTCTGTAATATGATGATATTCTTTTTGTAAGGAGAAAATTAACATTTAAAAATAAGAAGTGGGCATTGTCAATAGATTCGAATAAATTCTGTTACCATGCTGGATAAGACCAGCAGATGACGCTGTTTTCTTGACTGACATAGCTGGAGGGACCCTGAGTGACCTGGCGCACAGGTGTTGGCCGCCCTGCTCTCTGGTCACATGTCTTTTCTGTTCTGTGGGTTTCCAGGTCACAGCTTAGGGCTGTACCCAAGGTATCCTGCTGACAGGGTGCATGGGGGCTGGAACCATGTGGAAGAGGGGCACCTCTTCCTTCACCTAAACGTGCTGTCCAGTAGCAAAGCCGGCTTCTGCCACCTTTTTCTAAGTCACACAAAGACACTGTATGTGGCAGGTGGGTGCTTCCCCTCGGTAAGGTGGGGCATCATGGAATTTATATTGCTTTTACTAATGTAACTTTGGCCCTATTTCTTGTGAAGTAATGAGCCTGGCTTTATTTTGCTAAAGGCGCATTTGCCCCCGGTTGGCATCCTAAAGCTTCTTCACATTAATGCCAGACCTTGTCTTTAATCCCCAAGTTTCTCCCCGGAACGGGGGTGGAAGTAGAAAGGAGTTTTAGGTCAGTGTTTGTGAGGTGCTAGGTGGATTGACAGCTAGATAATGAGTGCCGGGGAGACCCTCATCTGACGCCTTAACTTGCCATTTCTGTGGTTCCTGGAGTCAGCTTTCAAATCCTCCCCCTTGCCCCACAGTGGCTCCCTCATGGCCAGATTTAATGTGCATCCGACTCCTCTGGGAAACCCGGTAAGATGCAGATTCTGATTCAGTTAAGTTAGGAATGCGCTCCCAGGTTGGGGCCAGTGCTGCTGGTCTGGAAACCCTCTTGGTTTCTCAGGTCTCTGGAGCCTCCAGACTCCTCTGGCAGTGGCAGAAAAGAAGTTGGGGACTCCCCAGAGAAACCTGGTTAGTGGAAGAAAAGGGTACTTCCTTCACGGGGTCACTGCTCCTCCGAGTGGATTGTGGACTCACGGAGGGACGTTCTAGAACACTCTAGCCTGGCAGCCCAAAATTTGGCTTTCCAGGGAAGAAGAGGCCTCAACTGTGGTGATTCTGAGGCTCTTGGTTTCATAAGAAGAGAGGAAGATGCAGAGGGGACGGGGAAGACCTTTGATCATCACTTGAGGCCATGGAGTTTGTGGGCTTTGGGAGTGCTGAGGCTTCCTATGGACAGCTGTTCTCCTGGAGACCCAAGAGAGAGACCTGGCCCTCCCCTCCTTTAAGGCAAAATGATTTCAACATCACCTCACCTGGCTAACTTCTGGTGCATTTGGAATCCCTTCCACAGGGCTTGGCCACCTGGCAATGTGTAGATCTCAAGATCAGCTGTTAGAACTAATATTATTTTTAAAAAACTTGTTTGAAGAGTTAATGTGTTCAGCTGCTTTTGTTCTTCCCAAACGGAAGTGTCACATGAGCAAATAACATACTCTATGATTTGGGGATGGCAGAAAAAGAATCACCAAGCAGAATAAACTTCTATTTTTCTTTGGAGCTCTGTTAAGTACCCCATTGGACTGAATCTGGGTTTTAAGGAAACAGAAATCATTACAATCTACAAAGCAGTCGTATTTCCTTCTCATTACTCTTCCTCAGATTACTCCCTCTGCATTAATTCCTCCTGAGGATACGATTCAGAAAATGTGAACTGCTCAGGTCATCACGTTTCAAATCCTATGCCTGTCTTTCTTGCTGTGTTGATTAATATTTTCGGCTGTGCCTGCTTAATTGTCAATCAATAATGTTCCTTTCTGGCTTCTGCCAATATTTTATGTTCATTTTAGAATTTCCAATACAGAAGTTTAACCCAATATATTAATATCAATTTAGCAGAGAGAGTATATCTCCTAAAACATTACCACTTGTGAAGTATTAGAATGTTTATTTATTTATTTATTTATTTATTTATTTACTGAGACAGAGTCTTACTGTGTCACCCAGGCTGAAGTGCAGTGGTGCAGTATCGGCTCACCACAACGTCTGCCTCCCTGGTTTAAGCGATTCTCCTGCCTCAGCCTCCCAAGTAGCTGGGATTACAGGTGCTTGCCACCATGCCCGGCTAATTTTTGTATTTTTAGTGGAGATGGGGTTTCGCCATGTTGCCCAGGCTGGTCTTGAACTCCTGACCTCAGGTGATCTGCCCACCTCAGCCTCCCAAAGTGCTGGGATTACAGGCGTGAACCACCGTGCCCGGCCTAGAACATTTTATCAAGTATAAGGTTCTAAAACATCTGGTGTGAATATTTGTTATTAAGGACAGTTAACTTTGCCAAGTACTTGGGATTAAATTAAATTTGGAGATTAAATTTAAGTTTTTGTGACCTGAAGATTTTAATAATTTCTAGACACTTGCAGGAACAAGCCTGTCAAGAGAATTTATTGTATATCTTTTCTTCTTAACTAACAATCAAATGATCAATTGATAGATCAATTGGTGTATTTATGCAATACTTATTATCCCTTTCAAAAAAACGGTTTTGGGTTTGGGGAAGGAGACAGTATATATGCCATAAAGCAATCAGTTCAAGAAACTTGACAATCGAATACTTAATCATCATGAGGAGAAAGATATTGATGATAATGAATCTTTTATCTTTTAAAGGGAATCTACTGTCAGTTTTGTTCCACTTAAAACTTTGGGAGACGGATACATATAACACATATAGAATATTATCTATCCATATGGTCATGGTCTCTGCCTCATTAAACATTTTTCTTTTTCTTTTTTTTTGTTTTTTGGAGACAGAGTCTCACTCTGTTACCCAGGCTGGAGTGCAGTGGCATGATCTCGGCTCACTGCAATCTCCGCCTCCCAGATTCAAGTGATTCTCCTGTCTCAGCCTCCTGAGTAACTGGGATTACAAGCATGCACCACAACGCCTGGCTAATTTTTTGTATTTTTAGTAGAGATGGGGTTTCGCCATGTTGCCCAGGCTGGTCTTGAGCTCCTGAGCTCGGGTGATCCCCTGCCTTGGCCTCCCAAAATGCTGGGATTACAGGGTTGAGCCACTGCGTCCGGCCTAAACATTTTTCTTTAACTTCTATTTCTCTATGACACCATCACTTTGGGTGTTTGAGCTTAGCTACTCAAAATGTGACCTGCCAGACAGCAGCACTGCCATCCCCTGGAAGCCTTCTAGAAATGCAGAATCTCAGGCCCCAGCCCACACCCACTTAATCGGAATCTGCATTCTAAGGACTTCCAGATGATTTGTAAGTACTTTAAAGTTGAAAAGCACTGATATAGACTAAGAAGCCCTCAAAGGCATATCTGCCTCAGTCAAGACCATAACAACTTTATGCTGGAAAATTTTCAGAGTGGCTTTTGGACCAATTGCCCAGTATAGTCATAGTTAGAGGTTTAAACACTCATAGAACATTTACTTTTAGACATGGTAGCTTCTACTACCATATCCAAAGTGCAATAGTTACAAATTACAGCTGCAAATAGCACCTGATTTAATGTGTTTTTTTTTGTTTGTTTTTTTCTCTGTTGCCCAGGCTGGAGTGCAGTGGCACGATCTCGGCTCACTGCAACCTCCGCCTCCCGGGTTCAAGCAATTCTCCTGCCTCAGCCTCCTGAGTAGCTGGGATTACAGGTGCCCGCTACCACGCCCAGCTAATTTTTTTGTATTTTTAGTAGAGACGGGGTTTCACCATGTTGGTCAGGCTGGTCTCGAACCCCTGACCTCGTGATCCACCCGCCTTGGCCCCCCGAAGTGCTGGGATTATAGGCATGAGCCACCGCGCCCGGCAGATTTAATGTGTTTGATAAAACTGACATAAGACTAACCCTTCCATTCCATGTCCACAGAAGTTCAAAACCTTCCAAGATTTCTGTGAATTCTTCATGTCACTAAATTAGTTGTGTTTGTTTATCTCTCACGGACCTGCCTCTGCTCTCCCTGTTTTTGTGTGTCAAACTCAACTTCTGTCCTTAATTTAATAAAATATAAGTCACACATCCAAATACCTTATGTAAGTGCAGATGTTACTGAGGGCTTGAGGGAGCCGGAGGAGTGATGAGAGCTAGGTAAACCAGTTAATACTGAATTAGACATCTACCTCCGAAAGACTCTGCCTGAGAAAGGATATGCTGACATAGCTTAAGAGTTTGTTTCACACACACACACACACACACACACACACACACACACACACACACAAAAGCATGGTAAACAGTAAATAAACACAAGACTAAAATATCTTAGTGAATTTATGTTTAAAAAAAAAAAACTTAACCAATTATGAGTGCTGCAATGACTTTCCTCCGTCTAACCAAAGGATCCAACTCAAGCTAGCTACTGTCAATAAATAAGATCCTGCAACGACTTGGGGAATCAGTTATCTAATTAGTGAATTTTAACAAAAGCTGGTTCCTTGCTGGGCAGACTCAGCATTTCCTTGGCAGTAAAAGGAAACAGCTGTGCTGGTAGATTAGCCTACTGGAAACCGAACGAAACCCAAAAACAAAACCTCCTACCCAGAGTCTCCATTGTGCACACACCGGCCCAGGAGTTCTCAGCTCTGAATGCACAGCAGAAGCACCAGGCAGGCCTTTTAAAGATGCTGACGCTTGGGTCATATCCCAGAACAACTAAATTTGAATGACTGGGGGCTGAGGCCAGGCATCAACATTTTTAGAAAGCTCCCCATCTAAAATCAGAAAAAAAAACTTTCCTCTGAAATAGAAATCCTGCTTCAGGTTTTTCATAAAGGAGCATGAAAAATTAAGGGAAAAGGCAAGTGTCAAAGCAGTGTGATCTCATTGGGATAGGGAGTAGAACTCTTTTTTTTTTTTTTTTTTTTTGAGACAGTCTTGCTCTGTTGCCCGGGTTGGAGTGCAGTGGCGTGATCTCTGCATACTGCAAGCTCTGCCTCCCGGGTTCATGCCATTCTCCTATCTCAGCCTCCCAAGTAGCTGAGACTACAGGTGCCCGCCACCACGCCCGGCTAGTTTTTTGTATTTTTAGTAGAGACGGGGTTTCGCCGTGTCAGCCAAGATGGTCTCGATCTCCTGACCTCGTGATCTGCCTGCCTTGGCCTCCCAAAGTGCTGGGATTACAGGCGTGAGCCACCACGCCCAGCCAAAACTCTTTTTATATTCTTTAAAAAAGTGAAGATTGTCATTAGCTTTTAAAATTTTTTTTGAGGCTGGGCGTGGTGCCTCACGCCTGTAATCCCAGCACTTTGGGAGGCCAAGGCGGGTGGATCATGAGGTAAGGAGATCGAGACCATCCTGGCTAACACGGTGAAACCCCGTCTCTACTAAAAATACAAAAAACTAGCCGGGTGTGGTGGTGGGTGCCTGTAGTCCCAGCTACTTGGGAGGCTGAGGCAGGAGAATGGCGTGAACCCGGGAGGCGGAGCTTGCAGTGAGCCAAGATCGTGCCACTGCACTCCAGCCTGGGAGACAGCAAGACTCCGTCTAAAAAAAAAATGTTTTTTGACACAGGGTCTCACTTTGTTGCCCAGGCTGAAGTGCAGTGGTGCAATCACGGCTCACTACAGCCTTGACCTCGTGCTCAAGCGATCTTCCTGCCTCAGCACCTCCCCCAGCCCCAGTAGCTGGGACTACAGGCATGCATCATCATGCCGGTCTTTTTTTTTTTTTTTTTTTTTTGAGGCAGAGTCATGCTCTGTCATCCAGGGTGGAGTGCAGTGGTGCCATCTTAGCCCACTGCAACCTCTGCCTCTTGGGTTCAAGCGATTCTCATGCCTCAGCTTCCCCAGTAGCTGTGTGTGCACACCACCACATCTGGCTAACTTTCGTATTTTTAGTAGAGATGGGGTTTCGCAATGTTGGCCAGGTGGGTTTCGAACTTCTGGCCTCAAGTATCCACCCGCCTTGGGCTCCCAAAGTTCTGGGATTACAGGTGTGAGACCACGCCTGGCCTAATTTTTTTGATTTTTTTAGTGGAGACAAGGTCTATGTTACCCAAGCTGTTCTGGAACTCCTAAGCTCAAGGGATCCTCCTGCCTTGGCCTCCCAAAGTGCTAGGATTACAGGTGTGAACCATCATACCCAGCCTGTTATTAACATTTTAATTGTGGCTACTCCTGAGTGGTGGGATTATGGTTGAGTTGTATTTTCTTTTGTTTCCCTTTTTCAATCTGCCTGCAATGAATGTGTATCGCTCATAAAAAGAGAACTTCAATTAAAAATAAAAACAGGCTGTGACAGATATAGTTTTTTTAAAATTTTTATTTTAGACTCAGGGGGTGCATGTACATGCTTGTCCCATGGATATATTGGGTATAGGTGGGGATTGGGCTTCTATTGTACACATTACCCAAAGAGTGAACACTGTACTTAAACGGAGTAATTTTAAAGGGAGTGCAACGTAACCAAAAGCTCAGTAGCCAAGATTAAATCATGTTGGGAGCAGCAGAAACAGGTTTTCAAGAAAGTAAATCAATTTTAGTGACGAATTTGACAAGCATTCCTAAAACAGAGAATTAAAAAGGAATGAAAATAATGAGATAACCACATAAAGGTGCTAATCATGGAGAATTAACAAATTTCTGAAGAAAACAAACAAGACAGGTATTAAAGTTGTTAACAGCTTATTCAAAAACGTCAAAAGAATTCTCCCCAAAGCAAAACAAAACAAACCCCGTTTGAAGAGATCAGGAAGACTCATGTATTCCAGGCAACATTAAGAAGTTTTAAAATTTCAAAGAAATAATTAACTGCAGGAAAGGGAGGGAGGGATGAAGAATGATGGCCAACTAGAAGAAGAACAGCTGGGTGAGAAAACAAGAGATGAGCCGAGAGAACGCTCCTGCAATCTAAACAGAAAGAGTTCTTCAGAAGTTAAGTCCAGGCCGGGCGCGCTGGCTCACGCCTGTAATCCCACCACTTTGGGAGGCCAGATTACTTGAGGTTGGGAGTTCGAGACCAGCCTGGCCAACATGGTGCAAACCCCGTCTCTACCAAAAATACAAGATTAGCAAAGTGTGGTGGCGCATGCCTATAGGGATGGCTGAGGCACGAGAATTGCTTGAACCTGGGAGGTTGCAGTGAGCCGAGTTTGCGCTATTGCACTTCAGCCTGAGCAACAGAGCGAGATCTTGTTTCAAAAAAAATAAAATAAAATAAAGTCCAAACTGGACTCAGTAAATGTCTGAGGACAGTGAAAAAATAGCCTAGTCTTTCAATGGATTGTGATCCAAACATTCGAGACTAATTATCATTCAAGAATGAAGGCAAAGATAAAAATGGTTTCAGAAATGTTAACCCTCCAGACAACTTTCCTGGTAGAGTTACTCAGAGACAGTTTTGAGATCAATGAAAGCATCAGACCGCTGGTGGACTAGCTACCCAATGCTCTGTTTTTAGGGATTCTCCTCCTTCATCTGTTAGTTTCTGCACGGCATTGTGAAAGTGGGGAAAACAACGCATATGTGTGTGTTTCTATCTTCCCCTTTATCATTGTACTCTTCTAGATTCAAGGTAACTCAGTTTCATAACGTTCTGCTTTATATCTGAGGGGACTTCAAAAAGTTCATGGAAAAATAGAATTAAAAGATAAAAATAAAATATAATTTCTTTTATTTCTCAACATAAGCTCCATTAAGTTCAAGCAATGATACCAGCCATTCAGTCTATCCCTAAAGAACTGAGGGTCCTGGGAAATTAACCATGTCTTTTTTATTAGCTGAAGAAAAACAGGTGCCCTTCAGGGATTTTTTTAAGATTGGGAAACAAAAAGAAGTCAGAAGGAGCCAAATCAGGACTGGGAGATGGATACCTAATGATTTTTGATAGAAATTCTAGCTAAACTGCCCTTGCTTTATGAGAGGAATGCGCAGGGGAACTGTCACGGTGGAAGACCCTCTGGTGAAGCTTTCCCAGGCGTTTCTCTGCTAAGCTTTGGATTTCTCTCGAAACACTCTCATAATAAGCAGATGATATCTTTATTTGGCCCTCCAAAAAGTCAACAAGCAAAATGACTTGAGGATCCAAAAAACTGTTACCATGACCTTTGCTCTTGATCAATCTGCTCTTGCTGTGACTGGGCCACTTCCACCTCTTGGTAGCCATTGTTTTGTATTTTGTCTTGAGGGTCATACTGGTAAAGCCATGTTTCTGTTACAATTCTTTTTTTTTTCTTTTATGTTTGCAAAATAATTATTTTACAGCTCAGCAAAAGAAATATTATTGGATATTTTGAGCATAACGACTCAGACAACTATAGAGTTTTTGAATGAGTAGTGACTATTTTGCATGACGACTGTGCTTTTCTTTCTGCATTTGGGTATCTTATTTAAATGTGTGTTAGTGGGTTGGTTTGGCTGCCATGTTAAATTCTTGTTGTATCTGGTCATTTTCTGAAGATGATCTCTCCCAAAATGATCTCAGTCCTTTCAAAATCACCAAGCAGTCTTTATACCTGTCTCTGAATTCAAGGTTTTAAAAGTCTGTTTTTGCTACAATTCTTTGAAGAAATGCTTCAGGATCTTGATCTCACTTGTTTGACATTTCCATCGAAAGCTCTGCTTTTGTCTGCAGCTGACCTGGGCTGGATGGTTTTGGTATCCATTGAGTGGAAAGTGTGCTCAACTTTAATTTTTCAGTCAGATTTATAAAAGCTGAACCAACTGAGGAGCATATTGTGTTGGCTATCGTTTCTGCTGTTAATCATTGGTCCTCTTCAAGTAGGGCATGAATGAGATAATTTTTTCCTCACGAAGTGGCATGGTCTGCTGCTGTAGGTTTCATCTTCAACATTGTCTTGTCCTTTCTTAAAATGAATTATCCATTTGTAAACTGATTTCCTTGGGGCGTTGTTCCCATAAACTTTTTGCAAAGCATCAATGATTGCACCATTCTTCCACCTAAGCTTTGCCATAAATTTGATGTTTGTTCTTGCTTCAGTTTTAGCAGAATTCATATTGTTCTGACAGGGGCTCTATTTAAACTGATATCCTTCTTAGTGCCTCAAACTAGATCCTGTTCAGACATGTTATAATGATGAGTTTATTTTGCTGCAAAGATTTTTGAAATCTATGCATAATTTTTTTCATAATATGCATTTTCCATCAACTTTTTGAAGACCTCTTGTGTGTTAACTCACATTCATTTTAATAGTCTTTAAAGACGGGCATTCCTGTTTACACAAATGAGCACAAAGAAATCCAATCAACGAAACATCTGAGATCCCAGAGCTAGTAAGCAGAGATCTGACACTTGGACTCAAGGAATCTAGATTCAATCAGTGCTTTTCATTTTTATTTTTTTTGAGATGGGTGGGAGTCTCGCTCTGTCACCCCGGCTGGAGTGCAGTGGCACGATCTCGGCTCACTGCAACCTCCACCTCCCGGGATTACACCATTCTCCTGCCTCAGCCTCCCGAGTAGCTGGGACTACAGGCGTCCACCACCATGCCCAGCTAATTTTTTTGTATTTTTAGTAGAGACGGGGTTTCACCTTGTTAGCCAGGATTGTTTTGATCTCCTGACCTTGTGATTTGCCCGCCTCGGCCTCCCAAAGTGCTAGGATTATAGACGTGAGCCACCGCGCCCGGCCCAGTCAGTGCTCTTAATCACTTGCCTATCTTGAGAACAGTGTTTTTAAAAAAGTTTATCCAATAATCTCATCCATAGACATTTCAGTGTTATCTTTGCTGCAAATGAAATTGAGCTACGTACACTTGAGAATATTTATTGACTATATTTGCAAACTGCATCATTTCTCCATCTTTAAAATATACCCCTTCCCCATCTGTTAAGTTTGTTAAGATAGAATGATCTCAGTATTTTAGTTACAGCAGAGGCTTTTTGTCAGAGCTTTTACTCCTAGTTGTCAGCTAAGTAAGATTTATTGTATAACTGCAAAATAGAGTAGTAAGTACACTACCAACTTCTCAGAAAAAAGTACAATTATGTCAAATCACCTGTTCTAGAAAATGTAAAGAGCAATAAAATCATTAATCATTTGGATTACCACCTATAATGCCTATCAGAAATAAAATGCAGTAGTGTTTGTTGCCTATTATCAGTAATGCTGTTACTGTTCACCAAAACTGATTTCTCAAAATACATTGTTATATCCATCAACTGTGATGTTAGATAGGATCCCTGGAATTTTAAATTAATCACATGAAATTTCACAAGGAAATTGGAATTCAAGGAATTAAGACCTTGAATTTGACCTAATACAGTATTAAAAGAAAAAACCTTTATTGAGAAATATAACACTCAATATCACAACTTCAGTCCATAGTTCTATTAAGAGACAAAGTTTCACTCTGTCATCCAGGCTGCAGTGCAGTGGCACCTTCTTAGCTTACTGCAGCTTCAAACTCCTGGGCTTCAGTGATCCTCCTGCCTCCAGTTAAGTCATTTTAATGCTACCTTTAGGACTTTATTTAAAAAAAAAAAAAAAGTCATAAATTTCTTGGTGCCAAGCACCAACAGCCTTGTTCTGGACATGTAAAGTATGCCAAATCAAATAATGCTAGTCAGATTCCAATAAACAGCCTAGGTGAATGTCGCTTATTTCCTGTTCACCCATAGTTGGACATGTCAGCTAAGTGGTTACAGGTGGGCTTCCTATCATTCACATCACTCTATCTTTCTTAATAATGTCCAGAGAAAGAAAGATATTTAACATTTGCCCCAACACAACTTTTTAAAAATAAGAGCTCATATTTTCCTTCACTTATTTCACTTAATACTCTTTGCAGTTCTAATACCTAACCTTGTTTTTACTAACCTTGTTTTCAGACTGTCCCTTTCTCCCTTAATCACCTAGCCTTGTTTCCATGTGAATAAGCTCTCCCTTAGCTGAGAAAGCCGGAGGAACTCCATTTGGTTCCTTCATTTACAGGACATCAAGGACTCCTTACCCACCCCCTTTCCTCAAGGAGTTAACTTGTGTAAGCTGACTCTCAACATATCAAAGAGTCCAATTAACTCATAAGGTACTGAAGCAAGCAATGTACGAAGTTCCCAGGATTTCGCTCAAGAGATACACCATAAAGCCTTGAGTTTGTGTCTGGCAGAGCCCCCACACCTGACATCTTATGATAGATTTAGAGCCCCTGCACCTGGAACTGTTTGTTTCTCTGTAACCATTTGTCTTTTTAATTTTTTGCATGTTTTTACTTCTGTAGAATTGTTGCAACTGAGCTCCCGTCCCCTTCCTAAACCAAAGTATAAAGGAAAATCAAGCCCCTTCCTCGGAGCTGAGAGAATTCCAAGTGTGAGCCACCTCTTGGCTGCCAGCTAAATAAAGGACTTTTAAATTCGTCTCAAAGTGTGGCGTTCCTCTAACTTGCTCGGGTACAACACAGTCACTGTTCAATAGTTTTCTCATAAATATCTTTTTTTCTCTTTTTTACTTCAGTGGCAAAAATCCTAATACCTTTTGAACTCTGGGATTCTATCAAAAATTTTCTAAGTTTCATGTTAATATAAAAGGTTGGTGACAAATGCCTGAGGCATACTAAAAGTTGATTTAGACATGCCTGAAATATAAGATACATTAGTAACATTTTGGTATAGCTGGAAATTCATTTTTTTTTTTTTTTTTTTTTGAGATGGAGTCTCCCTCTGTCGCCCAGGCTGGAGTGCAGTGGCACAATCTCAGCTTACTGCAAGCTCCGCCTCCCGGGTTCACGCCATTCTCCTGCCTCAGCCTCCTGAGTAGATGGGACTACAGGCACCCGCCACCAGGCCCGGCTAATTTTTTGTATTTTTAATAGAGATGGGGTTTCACCGAGCAGGATGGTCTCGATCTCCTGACCTCGTGAGCTGCCTGCCTCAGCCTCCCAAAGTGCTGGGATTACAGGCGTGAGCCACCGTGCCCAGCCTGGAAATTCTTAAGAATCATCTTTTACTTAACTAGTTTTAGTAGTAGTAACTCATCAAAATTTTTTGCATTGCTATGAGGGAATGAAAACTGTGAACTGTATGGACTGAGTTATATGGGTGGGAATTATGTAAAATATACCTAACTGAAAATTTCCAGATTCAGTAATGCTGTGTAAGTGAATAAATATGGTACACAGGTGCTTTGAATAAACATACCATAAGGAAGCAGGTAAAATGGATTTGTAAGAGTCTACAGGTCATGAAAATTCTCTTTTCTCTTGGAAAATTCCCTTTACAGGAACCCACCCCAATGACATGATCTTCAGGAAGGGAAGCAAAGCCCCTCTCAGTGTTACTGTTTTTGCCTTCAATTGATCACAGAACTCTCTCTTGCTATATATACACACATACATATACACTTTTTTTTTTGGAGACAGGGTCTCACTCTGTCACCTAGGCTGGAGTGGCAGTAGCAATGATCAAGGTTCACTGCAGCCTTGACCTCCTACCTCAGCCTCCCCAGTGGCTGGGACAACAGGCAGATTTTTGTATTTTTTTTTTTGTAGAGACAGGGTTTCGACTCCTGGACTCAAGCGATCTGCCTGCCTCAGCCTCCCAAAGTGCTGGGATTACAGGTGTGAGCCACTAAGCCCAGGCCGCAATGTATTTTAATCTAATATGTCCTTTCCTGTTGGGCTGACTTTGCATATGGCTGTTCCTATTTTTCTTTTTTAGATAAGTTTGATAAGTATTCTCATAGGGAATAAGGTACAAGTAGAATTTTTTTTTTTTTTTTTTTTTTTTTTGAGGCAGGGTCTCTCTGTTGTCCAGGCCAGAGTGCAATGGTGTTTTTGTAGCAACCTCGGACTCCTGGGCTCAAGCAATCCTCCCACCTCAGCCTCCCTAAGCTGTTTTCTTAATAAAAAAGAATACAGATGGGAAAATGTGACCAACAAAGTTTGAACAAGGAAAAACTAAACAAAGCAGCATGTGCCTTTCCCACTGGTTGTTTCTAACCCTCTTAAAAACAATATTCTGTTTTCAGGGAAATGCAAACTGTAGTTTACATTAGTTTTACATTGTCTTCCTCAATAGAGCTGACTGGTATGCAGGTAGGATTTGTGAGACGTACATAATGTCTAAGTCCCCACCTTGGCATATTCAAACAGCAAATCTATGACGTTTCTAACTGAAACCAAACAATCACATCCACGCAGCAAAAATGCACAGATCACAGGGATGAGCAAAATAAATACCTATGTTACACTGACATGGTATTAAAAAGGCAGGAAAAGCATTGACATTTGTATTTTAATAAAGGATAATAAAAGCCAAATTACAGCCAACTGTTAAAGCTTTTTTTTTTTTTAAATTCTATGGTAACAAAATCAGTTCAGGGGCTTTTTTTCTGAACAAATGATCATGATCCCTCAGTCTTTCCCGTGGCATGCTCCTAAAACAACCCTCTATGTCTAATCAGTCACCTAAGATATTGAGTGGCAAGTCTTTCACAGTTGCTGCTTATAATTCCTAAATGGTCCATATTGAGTATTTTCATTTCTGGGTAAGGGAAAAAGCATTTTGGTCCATTAATTCACCCACTCGCTCCTGGAGGACATTAACCAATTCTGCTATTACAAAGACGTGAGTGTCATCAATGTCTTGAATGATGAACTTCTTCCCCAGGGCATTGGACTCATCCAAGTACAGCAGAAACTGCTTCATGGCAGGATCACTGTAAAGACAAACACATGATTGTAAGACAGCTTGTTGTCAAATCACATCACAGAGACTTGAGCAATTAAATGTGAACATGTAGAATTTTTAGAATGATTTTTAAAGTTCTGTTACTCAATCCCTCACTTCCTCTCTGCCTCAAGTGTTAACAATTTATAGACATGGCTTCATTTTAGAACTATTAGTGTAAGTTGGCCGGGTGCGATGGCTCACACCTGTGATCCCAGCACTTTGGGAGGCCGAGGTGGGTGGATCACCAGGTCAGGAGATCGAGACCATCCTGGCTAACACGGTGAAACCCCGTCTCTACTAAAAATACAAAAAATTAGCCGGGTGTGGTGGCGGGTGCCTGTAGTCCCAGCTACTTGGGAGGCTGAGGCAGGAGAATGGTGTGAACCTGGGAGGCAGAGCTTGCAGTGAGCGGAGATCGTGCCACTGCACTCCAGCCTGGGCGACAGAGCGAGACTCTGTCTCAAAAAAAAAAAAAAGAACTATTAGTGTAAGTTGAAGAGGCAGAGGCCAATGGCAAGATTTTTAAAGAATAATTTGTCACTAAGTGGAAAAAATAAAAGAATATTGAAAGCTTTGTAGTTAGTAGGGCCTAGAATCACAGCTTTCTTAACTGATTTAAACACTGAATTTCTTCCTTGTCTATGCCCATTACATCTAAGGAACCAGTAGGTGTTCAATGTTTTACCAGTGACAAATTAACTTACAAAACCAGTTAAACAGTCACTTTGGTCAGGCAGGGTGTATATCAAGAGTCATACCTGGATTCAACCCCAGCTTCATCACTTACTTGTGTGACCTTGAATAGAATAGGTACTTAATCTCCCAGAGCCTCTGTTCCCAACCTCAAAAGTGAGGCTACATAACAGAATTGTTTACGGAAATTAAAGGAGATAATGTCAAGGACAGTGCTTGGCTTGTAATAGGCATTCAAGGAAAGAGGTCCAAATTCAATTTTATTAACTTGTGGTTTTTGGTTTGGAAAGAATAGGATAGTCATAAGGGAAAAGAGGGATACAATTTCTTCTCGGGCAGTACAGATTTACAGCAAAATGTCTCTTTCATAAAAACCTTGAATCATGACAAAGGACACTCTTTAGATCTAATACACAATGTGTTTAGCAAAAAATGAATATAAAAATGTCAAGCTGCACCACAGATTTTTGCAATTCTTGAGAAAAAAATCTCATATAATCTTTTGGTGTCTTGAGAAATGTCAATATCAATTGTAAAGGTAACAATTTAATCCAAAAGATGTCACTATAATTTACTGAAAACAAGAAAAATAAGATTTAAGTACAAGCACAGGTATTAACTGATGCTAACACGGGATTTACTTCTATCCCTAGATGAGTATGAGCCTCAGAACTGATTTGGGGGACTTTGGGTTTTACCAAGTGACATGATTTAACTTACAAACTGACTTAAATTTTAACTGTAAGGATCATATTGGCTGCTGGGTTGAGAAAAGACTGGGAGTGGCAGAGGCAAGGATGGAAGCAGGGGACCCATGAGGTGACATCCAGGCAAGAGATGATGATTTTGATGTAGGTGGTAATAGTGGAGGTGATGAGAAGTGGTTGAATTCTAGATATATACTGACATAAAACCAACATAATTTGCTAATACTGGACATGAGCTTTGAGAAAGAGGAACAAGAAAACTCCAAGATTTTTCATCTGAGCAAATGGAAGACTGGAGGAGATTTTTACTGAGATAAAGAGGAATGTGTAAGATCTGCAGGTAAGATCAAGTTTGGTTTTAGGGTGGGCATGGTGGCTCATGCTGTAATCCCAGCACTTCGAGAGGCCTAGGCTGGAGGACTGCTTGAGGTCAGGAGTTAGAGACTAGCCTGGACAGCACAGTGAGACCCTGACTCTACTAAAAAAAAAAAAGGTTTAGTTTTTGATGTTATATTTTGAGATGCCTACTGGCCCCTGAGTGAAGAAGCTGAGTAAGAAGTGACCACCGAGGTAGAAAGAAAACCCAAAGAGTCCTGAAAGCGATGTGAACAAAGGCTACTCAGGAAGTGGGAGTGATCAATTCTGTCAAAGGCTTATAGGGTATAGCAAGGGCTGAAAATTGATCCCTGGATTCAGAAAGTCACTGGACCTTGGCAATAGCAGTTTTGGTGGAGTCATAATAGGGAAAGCATGACTGGAGTGGGTTTCATATGGGAGGAAAGAAATTAGAGACAGTGAAGAGAACCAAGTCTTCTCTTTACTGAGAAATTTTGCTACAACGACCAGAAAGGTAGACTGGAAGCTAGGAAGAGGTGTGGGACTCTGAACAGATGGGAATATCAACAGACCATAGGTCTGGCGAAGTTGAAGAAATGATGGAGTGAGGTATGAGAGGGAGTGAACTGGAAAGAGGAGGTGGTGGTCAGAGTCAGATGCCTGAAATGAGACTGAAGAGCTGGCACGAGGGTAAGGAAGGATAGGTCTAGCTACAACTATGTGAATGAGTGGCTGTGATGAGGTGGAGGACAAGCTCAGTGGAAGAGGAGGCCAGGGAACTGGGAGAACAGGGTATCTAAAGGACTACCCACACGGATACTAACATCACTAAGGATTTGAGAGAAGAGCTACTGAAGATAGTTTTTTCAAGGGAAAACCTTCAGGACAGATTGGGGTGTCTGTAGATGATTATAAAGAGGAGGGTTGGTGGGTAGTCCACTCTGATGATCTGGGATTGATAACTGGGGGTTTCTATGGAAGAGGGAGGGAGAATTTCTGGAAGTGGCAATAATAAGCAAGGTACTGATCCTGTTTCCTGACCCAATGGTACAAGAGGGTGCCTTTGTAGAGGAAAAAAGGCACCACCTGATAAGGTGGTGGGAGAAGCAGTGAGCTCAGGACAAAGTCAGGTTTTGTCACAGCAAAAAAGGAAAAGGTGGGTGGGGGAAGGAAAAAGGAAAGTTCAGAGAAGAGGCTGAGGCTACAGGGCATCCTGCTGCTGCCATCTCACTATGTCCCAGAGGGCAAAGTGGAAAGGATTGCGGTGGGTAGGTGGGGGAGGGTGGTGGGTAGGAGATGGTGAACAGGGCCATAGATCATGAAAATGCAAGAGACAGAGATAGCTTGGGAGTCTGTGGTTTATTGGGTGACTGAAAAAAAGGAAAAATCGGCATATAAGGCTTAATGAGAATGAGGATCTCCGGGATGACACTGACATGCAACTGAATGGCAACAACAGCTGGTGACAGGAGGATGAATGGGGTATTTTACAAACAGAGCATAATGGTCACTGATTTAAGCAGATACAAAAAAATGTTAAACTTCACATTTTCAGCAATTCTCTAATTTGAGTATTATACAGAATAAGAATTTAAATGAAAAGATTTTCTAGAACAGTAAGACACTGTACACTGAGAAATTTCAGAGGTAAACAATTGATTAATTATTGACAAAGAGCACAGGTGGAAACATAAAATAGAAAAAAGCTTGAAGAGCAATTCTAGAAGGAACGTGGGGTTGATGAAGCAGGTTAAACAGGGTGCTTCCCGATGATATTGCAGAAAGGAAAATGAGGCCTATAGGACAGAGAAACCAAAGTTTCAGTTTCTTGAAAACCATTGTTTTTCTACTCAGACTCTTTAAAAATTTAGTTGTTTCCCTCAAATCTTCCTTGCACATACAAATAAAGGTAGAAGGGGAGGGACTGGTGGGGAGAATAAAAGGAGAGTAATTCAACAGTAGACAGGTATGATGGCTGGGGAGGGGAGAGTCAGACAAAAACCTGGACTTCAGTGCTCTACAATTAAGCTTTCCTTGCAAACAAGGGAGGACTCATATGACCGTGGTGCCCACTTCACTCTCCAGGCCCCACAAGTACTTCAATATATTCTATAAAAATCATAGAGGTTTCTTAGTATACACTTTACACAATGGGATTGTAAACCAAAAATAAAGTTCTAAGCACCCCACCCCCCATCTGCCAACTGACTGATGGACCCTCCCCTTGGCTAAGGGCATTCCAAAGTTAACCTGAAAAACTAGTTCAGGCCATGATGGGAATGGGGGTTGGGCATGCCTCATACCCACCTCCCTTTGAATTCAGGCATAGCTGACCAGTATTAACATTAAAACAGAGATCTTGGCCGGGTGCGGTGGCTCACGCCTGTAATCCCAGCACTTTGGGAGGCCGAGGCAGGCGGATCACGAGGTCAGGAAATCAAGACCATCCTGGATAACACGGTGAAACCCCATCTCTACTAAAAATACAAAAATTAGCCAGATGTGGTGGCAGGCACCTGTAGTCCCAGCTACTCGGGAGGCTGAGGCAGGAGAATGGCATGAACCTGGGAGGCGGAGCTTGCAGTGAGCCAAGATCGCGCCACTGAACTCCAGCCTGTGCAACAGAGCGAGACTCCATTTCAAACAAACAAACAAAAAAACAGAGATCTTAAGACCCAGGTAACAGACTTTTTGTAGGAATAAAACACCAAATTCCAGCTTGACTTTTGTAAAGCATCACATGGCAGATGGCAGGCCCTGAAAGAAATTGTATTTTACACCAAAATATGTTTCTTTGACATATTTTGAGACGGCCCTGCAAAGCTGTCTCTTGTGGGAATAATCGACTCTGTAGAGACTCTCCATTCCTTTCCAGGTCTTTTCCCTGATCCAGGGGAGTCTGGCACCTTTTTAGGTCTGATAAGAGCTCTGGGCCAGGTGCGGTGGCTCACATCTGTAATCCCAGCACTTTGGGAGGCTGAGGTGGGTGGATCACCTGAGGTCAGGAGTTCGAGACCAGCCTGGCCAACATGATGAAACCCCGTCTCTACAAAAAAATACAAAAATTAGCCGGGCGTGGTGGCAGGCGCTTGTAATACTACCTACTCAGGAGGCTGAGGAAGGAGAATCGCTTGAACCCAGGAGGTGAGGGGTGTAGTGGGCCGAGATCACACCATTGCACTCCAGCCTGGGAGACAAGAGGGAGACTTCGTCTAATAAGAACAAAACAAAACAAAACACAAAACAAAACACAAAACAAAACAAAAACAACTCTGAAGCCTGCTACCTGGAGACTTCATCTGCGTGATAAAACCTTGGTCTCCACAGCTCTTTACCTTAACCCACACATTCCTTTCTATTGATTCCAGGTCTTTAGATAATAACTCTTTCAATCAACTGCCAATAAGAAAATCTTTGAATCTACCTATGACCGGGAAGCCCGCCCCCCATTCCCCTTGCTTTGAGTTGTCCTGCCTTTCCAGACTGAACCAATGTACATCTTACATGTATTGATTGATATTTTGTCTCCCTAAAATGTGTAAAACCAAGCTGTAGCCCGAACACCTTGGGCACAAGTTGTCTGGACCTTCTGAGGATATGTCATGGGCATGTCCTTAACCTTGGCAAAATAAACTTCAAAATTGATTGAGACTTGTCTCAGATACTTTTTGATTTACAGGACCAACAGTTGTTTTGTGTTAGCCCTTTAAAATAAACTTTGGATCCAAATGTAACAGTAATAAAAGACAAACTGGACATTGAAACATTGCTGTCTGCATGTGATAGATTAACTTGTTACAGTTTGAGCTCAGTACATTCAGATGACACCAATTTATTCTCAGTAACTGGCTACTACTAACAGGTATTAAAGGCAGCAAGAGTTAAGTGGTTATGAAGACTTTGGGAATTTTCTAAATGGAATAAATTTACATCATCTTAATGAAGTCAGAGCTAAACCACTAAAACCAAGAAGCGCCTCAGGACTCATATCTGTGCTGAATCATCACACCAATGCTTTCAAAATGTTTGCCATTTGTATACCATCCTTGCTATTTTAGCCATCTCTTGTAACATCTCTGTTGCAAATCACTTAATATTTTTCTTTAAATTGCCTTTAAATCAACTAACGTTTCATCTGGCATAAAACCAAGAGTTTGATATGTCAGTTTCCTCTTCTCCTCAAATAAATTAAACTGGTCATATAAAAAATTTTTTTGCTCTCTTTATTTTTTTTGAGACAGAGTCTCACCGTCACCCAGGCTGGAGGGCAGTAGGCGTCATCACGGCTCACTGCAGCCTTGACCTCCTGGGCTCAGATGATTCTCCCACCTCAGCCTTCCCAGTAGCTGGGACTACAGGCACATGTCACTGCACCCAGATTTTTTTTGTATTTTTTTGTAGAGATAGGGTTCTGTTATGTCGAACTCCTGGACTCAAGCAACCCACCCGCCTCGGCCTCCAAAAGTGTTGGGATTACAGTTGTGAGCCATTGAGCCTGGCCTATTTTTCTATTCTACTCCCCCAAAATGTATGTTCTTCAAATCATCTTGAACACTAATGGTATTCCGCACACTTGGGGAAATATGCTAACTGACAAATGAGACAGCTTAGAGGAATGACTGGCCAGTGAACACTGAAATAACGCTTTAATATCAATCGCTTCAAACTTTTTTTTTTTTTTTTTTTGAGACAGGGCCTCACTCTGTTGCCTAGGCTGGAGTGCAGTGGCACAATCCCAATTCACTGCAGCCTCAACCTCCTAGGGATGAGGTAATCCTCCCACCTCAGCCTCCTGACTAACTGGGTCTACAGGCGCACGCCACCATGCCTGGCTAATTTTTGTATTTTTTGTAGAAATGGGGTTTCACCACATTGCTCAGGCTGGTCTTGAACTCCTGGGCTTGGGCGATCCTCCAGCCTCGGCTTCCCAGTGTTGGGATTACAGGCGTGTGCCACCGTGTCTGGCATGCCTCAAACTTTTGAAAGACAATTTGAGATTGAATTTTCAAGCATGTACCTGAAGTAAAGATAACATGTAATGATTTAAAAAGACTCTTTAATTATTAAAAAAAAAAAAAAGACACTCAAAGTTTAAGGGACATTTTGTCATGAAACACAAAGAGCCTGGAATATTCCTATCTGAACACAGAGCCATTCCACTTCTATATTGAGAGTAGCAGAAAAAAAAACAAAACCCAAAGCCAAGAGCATATATACATACTTGAAGTCCCAGGATCAAGGCTATTGTACAGAAAAGAAACAACTTTGCCCTGGAAGTGTGAAGGGCAGATATCATGAAACCTTCTCCTAAAGAAGCTTAGTATAGCTCCTATAAAGTATGACTCTGAAAAGGATTATAGCATGATAATGGTATAATGGTAACCAGGATGATGCAGTGAGCTGTAAAATAGTCTGGTCAAAGCTGTCAGCACTGACAATCCATCAGAACAATCTTGGCTTAGTCAATGGTAAACTATCTTTCTTGATAATAACTGGCCAACAGATATTACTTAAAAAATTTTTAAGTATTACTCCATAAATTCCATATATCCTGGGAGTAGACTGTCTTAGGTTTATTTCCCCTTTAAAAGCATTTTCCAAAGTGTTTTCTGAGTCTGGGTTTTGTTCAATCTGAGATATGGGTGTCTAGATTAGAGCCCAGAACATTATAGGTGCTCAATAACAATTTGGTACATGAGTAGGGTCTTAAGAGAAGAGACACCATAGGAGACATTAAGTTAACCAGAAACACAGCTACCATTTTCCCAAGAAAACATATAATAGGGGTTTTACTGTTACAAAGACACAAAAGTCTAAAGAGAGTACTGGACCCAGAAAGCCTAGCCCCAGACCCCAGCTCTGCCAACCAAAATATGTATAATGTATAAAGTTACTCAACCTCTCAACTTCTCAGGCTTCTAACTAGAAATGAGAACAGGAATTCGATGCGGCTCCTCCTTCACATGTTTTTCCTTTTTTTTTTCCTTTTCTTGTCCCACTGATCAGAAAACCCAAATCACTACCTTGCTGGTGATGTACCCGCTAACCCCAAGGCTTTAATTATACAAAGAAAATAGCCATTCTTCTGTGCTCTCATGTGTAACCATGCCTTTTACTTAGGAAATCTAAGTATCAAACCAAGGTTGTGGAGTGTCCCACCTTGGAAAATAAAGCTGAACAACTGAGTCACTTCCAAGATGGCCAAATAGGAACAGCTCTGGTGTACAGCTCCCAGCAAGATCGACACAGAAGACAGGTGATTTCTGCATTTCCAACTGAGGTACCTGGTTCATCTCATTGGGACTGGTTGGACAGTGGGTGCAGCCCATGGAGGGCGAGCCGAAGCAGGGCAGGGTGTCGCCTCACCCAGGAAGTGCAAGGGGTCAGGGGATTTCCCTTTCCTAGCCAAGGGAAGCTATGAGTGACTATACCTGGAGGAGCAATACACTCCAGCCCAAATGCTGCACTTTTCCCACTGTCTTCGCAACAAGCGGACCAGGAGATCCCCTCCTGTGCCTGGCTCGGTGGGTCCCACGCCCACGGAGCCTTGCTTGCTGCTAGCGCAGCGTCTGAGATTGACTTGGGACACCGGAGCTTGGTGGGGGGAGGGGTGACCGCCATTGCTGAGGCTTGAGTAGGCGGTTCCATGCTCACAGTGTAAACAAAGCAGCAGGGAAGCTCAAATTGGGCAGAGTCCACTGCAGCTCAGCAAGGCCTACTGCCTCTCTAGATTCCACCTCTGAAGGCAGGACATATCTGAACAAAAGGCAGCACACAGCTTCTCCAGACTTAAACGTCCCTGCCTGACAGCTCTGAAGAGAGCAGTGGTTCTCCCAGCATGGCATTTGAGCTCCGATAATGGATAGACTGCCTCTTCAAATGGGTCCCTGACCCCCATGTAGCCTGACTGGGAGACACCTCCCAGTAGGGGCTGACAGACACCTCATACAGGCAGGTGCCCCTCTACGATGAAGCTTCCAGAGGAAGGATCAGGCAGCAATATTTACTGTTCTGCAGCCTCCACTGGTGATACCCAGGCAAACAGGGTCTGGAGTGGACCTCCAGCAAACTCCAACAGACCTGCAGCTGAGGGTCCTGTCTGTTAGAAGGAAAACTAACAAACAGAAAGGAGTAGCATCAACATCACCAAAAAGGACATCCACACCAAAACCCCATCCATAGGTCACCAACATCAAAGACCAAAGATAGATAAAACCACAGAGATGGGGAGAAACCAGAGCAGAAAGGCTGAAAATTCCAAAAACCAGAACACCTCTTCTCTTCCAAAGGAACACAACTCCTCACCAGCAAGGGAAGAAAACTGGATGGAGAATGAGTTTGACGAGATGACAGAAGTTGGCTTCAGAAGGTCGGTAATAACAAACTTCTGTGAGTTAAAGGAGGATGTTCTACCCATCGCAAGGAAGCTAAAAACCTTGAAAAAAGTTTAGACGAATGGTTAACTAGAATAACCAGTGTAGAGAAGAGCTTAAATGACCTGATGGTGCTGAAAACCACAGTACGAGAACTTCGTGAAGCACATACAAGCTTCAATAGCCGATTTGATCAAGCAGAAGAAAGGATATCATTGATTGAAGATCAAATTCATGAAATACAACAAGAAGACAAGATGAGAGGAAAAAGAATGAAAAGAAATGAACAAAGCCTCCAAGAAATATGCGACTATGTGAAAAGACCAAATCTACGTTTGATTGGTGTATCTGAAAGTGACGAGGAGAATGGAGCCAAGTTGGAAAACACTCTTCAGGATATTATCCAGGAGAATTTCCCCAACCTAGCAAGGCAGGCCAACATTGAAATTCGGGAAATACAGAGAACACCACAAAGATACTCCTCAAGAAGAGCAACCCCAAGACACATAATTGTCAGATTCACCAAGGTTGAAATGAAGGAAAAAATGTTAAGGGCAGTCAGAGAGAAAGGTCAGGTTACTCACAAAGGGAAGCCCATCAGACTAACAGCGGATCGCTCCGCATAAACCCTACAAGCCAGAAGAGAGTGGGGGCCAATATTCAATATTCTTAAAGAAAAGAATTTTCAACCCAGAATTTCATATCCAGCCAAACTAAGCTTCATAAGTGAAGGAGAAATAAAATCCTCTACAGACAAGCAAATGCTGAGAGATTTTGTCACCATCAGGCCTGTCTTACAAGAGCTCCTGAAGGAAACACTAAACATGGAAAGGAACAACCGGTACCAGCCACTGCAAAAACATGCCAAATTGTAAAGACCATCGATGCTAGGAAGAAACTGCCTCAATTAATGGGCGAAATAACCAGCTAGCCTCATAATGACAGGATCAAATTCACACATAACAATATTAACCTTAAATGTAAATGGGCTAAATGCCCCAATTGAAAGACACAGACTGCCAAATGGGATAGAGTCAAGACCCGTTGGTGTGCTGTATTCAGGAGACCCATCTAATGTGCAAAGACACACATAGGCCCAAAATAAAGGGATGGAGGAAGATCTACCAAGCGAAAGCAAAGCAAAAAAAAAAAGCAGAGGTTGCAATCCTGGTCTCTGATTAAAAACAGACTTTAAACCAACAAAGATCAAAAGAGACAAAGAAGGCCATTACATAATGGTAAAGGGATCAATTCAACAAGAAGAGCTAACTAACCTAAACGTATATGCACCCAATACAGGGGGACCCAGATTCGTAAAGCAAGTTCTTAGAGACCTACAAAGAGAGTTAGACTCCCACACAATAATAACAGGAGACTTTAACACCCCACCATCAATATTAGACAGATCAATGAGACAGAAAATTAACAAGGATATCCAGGACTTGAACTCAGCTCTGGACCAAGTGGACCTAACAGACATCTACAGAACTCCCCGACCCAAATCAACAGAATATACATTCTTCTCAGCATCCCATCACACTTATTCTAAAATTGACCATATAATTGGAAGTAAAACATTCCTCAGCAAATGTAAAAGAACAGAAATCACAACAAACTGTCTCTCAGACCACAGTGCAATCAAATTAGAACTCAGGATTAAGAATTCACTCAAAACCACACAACTACATGGAAACTGAACAATCTGCTCCTGAATGACTACTGGGTAAATAACAAAATTAACGCAGAAATAAAGATGTTCTTTGAAACCAGTGAGAACAAAGATACAACGTACCAGAATCTCTGGTACATATTTAAAGCAGTGTGTAGAGGGAAATTCATAGCACTAAATGCCCACAAGAGAAAGCAGGAGAGATCTAAAATCGACACCCTAATATCAAATTAAAAGAACTAGAGAAGCAAGAGCAAACAAATTCAAAACCTAGCAGAAGACAAGAAATAACTAAGATCAGAGCAGAACTGAAGGAGATAGAGACAAAAAAACCCTTCAAAAAAAAAAAAAATCAATGAATCCCGGAGCTGGTTTATTTTAAAGATCAACAAAATAGATAGACCGCTAGCAAGACTAATAAAGAAGAAAGAGAGAAAAATCAAACAGACACAATAAAAAATGATAAAGGGGATATCAACCCGATCCCACAGAAATATAAACTACCATCAGAATACTATAAACACCTCTATGCAAATAAACTAGAAAATGTAGAAGAAATGGACAAATTCCTGGACCATACACCCTCCCAAGTCTCAACCAGGAAGAAGGTGAATCTCTGAATAGACCAACAGCAGATTCTGAAATTGAGGCAATAATTAATAGCCTACCAACCAAAAAAAGTCCAGGACCAGATGGATTCACAGCCAAATTCTACCAGAGGTACAAAGTGGAGCTGGTACCATTCCTTCCGAAACTATTCCGATCAACAGAAAAAGAGGGAATCCTCCCTAACTCATTTTGAGGCCGGCATTGTCCTGATACCAAACCCTGGCAGAAACACAACAAAAAAAGAGAATTTTAGGCCAATATCCCTGATGAACATCTATGCAAAAATCTTCAATAAAATACGGGCAAACCGAATCCAGCAGCACATCAAAAAGCTTATCCACCACGATCAAGTCAGCTTCATCCCTGGGATGCAAGGCTGGTTCAACATACGCAAATCAATAAATGTAATCCATCACATAAACAGAACCAATGACAAAAACCACGATTATCTCAAAAGATGCGGAAAAGGCCTTCGACAAAATTCAACAGCAGAAAAGGCCTTCGACAAAATTCAACAGCCTTTCATGCTAAAAACTCTCCATAAACTACGTATCGATGGAATGTATCTCTTATTATCTCATAATAAGAGCTATTTATGACAAACCCACAGCCAATATCATACTGTATGGGCAAAAACTGGAAGCATTCCCTTTGAAAACCGGCACAAGACAAGGATGCCCTCTCTCACCACTCCTATTCCACATAGTATTGGAAGTTCTGGACAGGGCAATCAGGCAAGAGAAAGCAATAAAGGGTATTCAGATAGGAAGAGAGGAAGTCAAATCATCTCTGTTTGCAGATGACATGATTGTATATTTAGAAAACCCCACCATTTCAACCCAAAATCTTAAGCTGATAAGCAACTTCAGCAAAGTTTCAGGATACAAAATCAATGTGCAAAAATCACAAGCATTCCTATACACCAATAACAGACAAACAGAGAGCCAAATCATGAGTGAACTCCCATTCACAATTGCTACTAACAGAATAAAATACCTAGGAATACAACTTAACATGGGATGTGAAAGACCTCTTCAAGAACTACAAACCACTGCTCAAGGAAATAAGAGAGGACACAAAGGGAAAAACATTCCATGCTCGTGGATAGGAAGAATCAATATCGTGAAAATGGCCTTACTGCCCAAAGTAATTTATAGATTCAATGCTATCCCCATCAAGCTACCACCGACTTTCTTCACAGAATTGGAAAAAACTACTTTAAACTTCATATGGAACCAAAAAAGAGCCCACATAGCCAAGACAATCCTGTGCAAGAAGAACAAAACTAGAGGCATCACGCTACCTGACTTCAAACTATACTACAAGGCTACAGTAACCAAAACAGCATGATACTGGTACTAAAACAGATATATAGACCAATGGAACAAAACGGAGGCCTCAGAAATAACACCACACATCTACCACCATCTGATCTTTGACAAACCTGACACACACAAGCAATGGGGAAAAGATTCCCTATTTAATAAATGGTGTCGGGAAAACTGGCTAGCCATATGCAGCAAACTGAAACCGGACCCTTTCCTTACACCTTATACAAAAATCAACTCAAGATGGATCAAAGACTTAAACATAACACCTAGGACCATAAAAATCCTAGAAGAAAACCTGGGCTTCATTCAGGACACAGGCATGGGCAAAGACTTCATGTCTAAAACAAGAAAAGCAATGGCAACAAAAGCCAATAATGACAAGTGGGATCTAATTACACTAAAGAGCTTCTGCACAGCAAAAGAAACTATCATCAGAGTGAACAGGCAACCTACAGAATGGGAGATTTTTGCAATCTACCTGTCTGACAAAGGGCTAATATCCAGAATCTACAAAGAACTTAAACAAATTTACAAGAAAAAAGCAAACAACCCCATCAGAAAATGGGCAAAGGATATGAACAGACACTTCTCAAAAGACGACATCTATGCAGCCAACAGATATATAAAAAAATGCTCATCATCACTGGTCATTAGAGTAATGCAAATCAAAACCACAATGAGATACCATCTCACACCAGTTAGAATTGCGATCATTAAAAAGTCAGGAAACAACAGATGCTGGAGAGGTTGTGGAAAAATAGGAATGCTTTTTTTTTTTTTTTTTTTTTGAGATGGAGTCTCGCTCTGTCTCCCAGGCTGGAGTGCAGTGGCACAATCTTGGCTCACTGCAAGCTCCACCTCCTGGGTTCATGCCATTCTCCTGCCTCAGCCTCCTGAGTAGCCACCATGCCTGGCTAATTTTAATAGAGACGGGGTTTCACCGTGTTAGACAGGATGGTCTCGATCTCCTGACCTCGTGATCCGCCTGTCTTGGCCTCCCAAAGTGCTGGGATTACAGGGATTACAGGTGTGAGCCACCGCGCCCAGCCAGGAATGCTTTTACAATGTTGGTGGGAGTTCAACCATTGTGGAAGACAGCGTGGCGATTCCTTAAGGATCTAGAACTAGAAATACCATTTGACCCAGCAATCCCATTACTGGGCATATTCCCAGAGGATTATAAATCATTCTATGATAAAGACACATGCACATGTATGTTTATTGTGGCACTATTCACAATAGCTAAGACTTGGAACCAACCCAAATGTCCATCAATGATAGACTGGATTAAGAAAATGTGGCACATATACACCACGGAATACTATGCAGTCATAAAAAAGGATGAGTTCATGTCCTTTGTAGGGACATGGATGAAGCTGGAAACCATCATTTTCAGCAAACTATCACAAGATCAGAAAACCAAACACTGCATGTTCTCGCTCATAAGTGGGAGGTGAACAATGAGAACACATGGACACAGGGAGGCGATCATCACACACCAGGGCCTGTGGGGTGTTGGGGTCTAGGGGAGGGATAACATTAGGAGAAATACCTAGTGTAGGTGACGGGTAGATGGGTGCAGCAAACTACCATGGCACATGTATACCTATGTAACAAAACTGTACGTTCTGCACATTTAACCCAGAACTTAAAGTATGATAACCACTGCAACCACAGATGCTGACCACATACTGTACCCTTCATGTGCTTTACCCAGCGCAGCCTGCATACCTTATCCCTGATGTCAATTCCCATGCTTTGCCTAATCAAAAAGTCCCCATCAGCTTTTTTGGGGGTCAGCCGCAGAGTTCTTACTACTGTACTGTCTCCCTTGCATTTGTGGATAAACCCTGAAATAAAAGCCTCATCTGGGAAAACTGTATAGCTCTGTGTTAATTTTTATTACATAGGGAGCCAAAGAGCCTGTGATCTGTAACAGCAATGTTAGTACCATAGCTACACTGCAAAGTTGATGGACTACAGAATATTTCTAAAACATCTTGCTCATAGTAGGTACTCAAATGAGCAATTAAAATGCCAAGACCATGTGAGAGGATATAGGCAGAGAGGTTTAAATTACAATTAGTTCTATCCCTATCAAATGATTTACTGTTGGGAACAGGCACCCCAAAATCTGGCCATAAACTGGCCCCAAAACTAGCCATAAACAAAATCTCTGAAGCACTGTGACATGTTCATGATGGCCATGACACCCACGCTGGAAGGCTGTGGGTTTACTGGAATGAGGGCAAGGAACACCTGGCCCACCCAGGGCGGAAAACCGCTTAAAGGCTTTCTTAAACCACAAACAATAGCGTGAGTGATCTGTGCCTTAAGGACATGCTCCTGCTGCAGATAACTAGCCCAACCCATCCCTTTATTTTGGCCCATCCCTTTGTTTCCCATAAGGAATACTTTTAGGTAATCTATAATCTATAATCTATAGAAACAATGCTCATCCCTGGCTTGCTGTTAACAAATAAGTGGGTAAATCTCTGTTCGGGGCTCTCGGCTCTGAAGGCTGTGAGACCCCTGATTTCTCACCCCACACCTCTATATTTCTGTGTGTCTGTCTTTAATTCCTCTAGCGCTGCTGGGTTAGGGTCTCCCAGACCGAGCTGGTCTCGGCAATTTACTATTTCAATTACAAAACCATTAACCTATGAATATATATGGTATAATTCTAAGACATACGTATATCCTTTTAAAAAGCAAACATAGGCTGGGCGCAATGGCTCACATCTGTAATCCCAGCATTTTGGGAGGCCGAGGTGGGTGGATCACGAGGTCAGGAGTTCAAGACCAGCCTGGCCAAGATAGTGAAACCCCATCTCTACTAAAACTTCAAAAATTAGCCAGGCATGGTGGCAGGCACCTGTAATCCCAACTACTTGGGAGGCTGAAGCAGGAGAATCGTTTGAACCCAGGTGGCAGAGGCTGCAGTGAGCCAAGATTGTGCCACTGCACTCCAGGCTGGGTGACAGTGAGACTCCGTTTCAAAAAAAAAACAAAAGCAAACACAATATTATACTTAGTTTTATAATGGAGAGATAGTATATGTAACGTTTAGTAGCCTGGGCTCTGGAGCCAGAATACCGGGATTTAAAATCCCAGTTTAACAATAGCTATGTAACTGAGCAATTGATTAATTGATACAAAGTATCTCACTTTGTACATCCATAAATGGAGATGACAGCACTTACCTCAAAGGGCTGTTGTGAAAACTAAATTAATATTAGCAAGTGCTTAGTATAGCACATGTCACATGGAAAACAGCGTTAGTACAGGAATCCAGGTGTTTTCACTTAACATCATTGTACAGTGTCATTTCCCTGAATCACTTAAAATGTCTGCAAATATTTTAACAGCTATATTATTTGATTAAAATATGCCACAATCAACAAATTTCTTTTTCTAGCACATTAAATACATACATTTTTATTGGCAGTTCTGATCATTTCCTAAAATTTTTTTTTTTTTTGAAATGGGGTCTCACTGTGTTGCTCAGGCTGGAGTGCAGTGGCATGATCTTGGCTCACTGCAACCTCTGCCTCTTGGGTTCAAGTGATTCTCCTGCCTCAGCCTCCCCAGTAGCTGGGATTACAGGCGTCCACCACCATGCCCAGCTAATTTTTGTATTTTTAGTAGAGACAGGGTTTTACCATGTTGGCCAGGCTGGTCTCAAACTCCTGACCTCAAGCCATCCACCCGCCTCAGCCTCCTGAAGTGTTGGGATTACAGGCGTGAGCCACTGCACCCAGCGATTTCCTAAAGATAAACTTATAGAAACGGAGTTATTGTGTTAAAGGATATAAAAGCACAAAACACCCATCACAAGTTGCTTACAGTTGTTTCTTGGGATTACACTTCCATCAGCAGCTTGGTGGGGTGCTTGCTTTTTAAAAGCTATGACTGGAAGACAACAGCCTCCTCATTTAAAAGCTATTTTGATATACAACATGCTAAAAGGAGGCCTAGTATACACATCTGTTTCAAACTAAAACTTTAATTTATCAAGAATCCCATCTTATTCACTGTGAATCTCACTGTAGGAATAGAGAGGCTCTAAAGGAACATTAATAAATTTGGGATTTTGGCTGAGATCACAAACCTGGACTCAATTCTGTTAACAAAATTTATTCAGTACACAAATATTTACTAAGCCATATCTATATATGTGTATGTGTGTGTGTGTGTATACACACACACACACACACACACACACACACACACATCTCAGGCACAGTTTTGGGTGCCTGGAAAACTTCAGCGAACATGGCCCTACTAAGAGGCAAAGGCTGAGAAAAGATTTATACATGCTGAGAAAAAAACAGAACAATGGTTAGACTGGTTTTGCCATACTTCTTACTTCGCTTCTCATAAACGATATAGCTTTAGAAGCCAAACTCATAAGGATAAGTGTAGTTTAATAATACATATTTCTCCAGATTCTTTGCTATTGTGATGTAAACTGGTTGGAATTTGCACCTTGGCAACAAATCTTTGCTGAAGCACTTGCCAAACCAATTGTGGCAACTGTTATACCAGAGGTCTGCTCCAGCATCTGGAACTGGACACAGACATACTGTGGTCATGTGTTGCTTGCTTTGGTAATTGCTTGGTGGCTAGATTTGGGAGAATACTTAGTGTGAGCCTGGCAATTGATGGTGGATCCCAACAAAGAGGAAATTTTCACCAACCTTTCAGTTTTGACATAAAAGTGCAAATTTATAAACATAAAACTTCTTTTATAGCCTTCAATTTTAGTATTTGATAAGCCCTTGGGAGTTAAGATTATATCCAAGTGCCCTGATTTTTCAATTCTCTGAAGGTGAGAATAAATGGCCATCATCATAATTTGGTTTACTTCTTTAGCAAATCTCTGCAGACTCAAAATCAGTTAAACTTAACTGATAGAAATGGAGTTTAAATATGGCAGTTAAGTGAAGCCAATCTAAGATATATGTGGATCAGCACTATATAAGCTATTACACATCAGTTTCTATTAATACAATGATGGGACTGGAATTTGGAGAGATTCCTGGGACAGTGGAAGCAGCTGTGAGATAGGAATTCAGCAGGACTAGTTTCCAAGACAAGAGAGACAGTAAACAACAGGTCAGAAGACCCCACCGATAAGCGAGGATACAGTAAAGAAACCAGCCAGAACCAAGATGGCAACAAAAGCAACCTTCACCACTATCATACACAAATCATAATGCATGCGCACGCTAAAAACCACCCCCACCAGCACCACGACAGTTTACAAATGCCATGGCAATATCTAGAAGTTACCCCGTATGGTCTGGACTGGGGACTCCTGGTTCCACAGAATCCCTGCCTCTTTTCCAGAAAACTCACGAATAATCCACCCCTTGTTTAACATATACTCAAGAAATGGCCATAAAATAGCCAGTTAGCAGGCCCGCCTGCTTCCCACCCTCCCCACTCCACTCTGCCTATGGGGTAGCCACCCTTTTATTCCCTCATTTTTAATAAACTTGCTTTCACTTTACTCTGTGGCTCATTCTTGAATTCTTTCCTGCATGAAGCCAAAAACCAACTTGGCTTCCAGGGCTGAGCCTCAATTTTGGTATTCACCTGCAACAGCTGTAGAAGATCCTTGAGTGGTCTGCCTGTAAACTCCAGACCTATCAAATTCCATACTCCAATACACCTAAATGCTTCATACAATCCATGGATATTATGAAGTAATAAACAGACTTATACTGATAATCATATTATTAACAGGCTTCTCCTTGGCATCAAATATGGACATGAGGGAAACTGAAGGACTTTTCCAGTTACCATCCTAACATCTGCATCTAACTGTGAAAGGGAATCCACTAGCACTGGCCATACCCTTTCCTTTGGGAATCTATGTTATTTCTTAGGCCCAAAATCTTTTTGGAAGACTTGTGTTTTTGGGAAGACAGAGTTACCCTTTTGAAAAATTGTGCAGACTACACTTTAGAATTCACTTCAAAGGGAAAAATTAGTTTTGCAAGGATGGTACCTAACCTGCAAAATAAAATTTAATAGTCCTGGTGCAAAACACTTCTCCACAGGGAAACATTATTAAACTGAAGCTGATTAACAGTATTATTGCTTCTCAAAATTTAAATGCATCTTAACAAGATTCTTTGTATGCACAATTCTGATTTAGTAGATTTAGGGTGAGGTCTGAGATTTTGCATTTCTAACAAGCTCCAGATGATGCTATTACTGCTAGTCTGGGGATTACCCTGAAGTGCAAGGTGATGGACAGTCATTAGAGAGACCAGGTAGAATTCAGAGGTTAGATACGGGACAGCAAACCGGGCACTGAGACTTCAGAGTCTCCCCAGAGTTTTGTTCTTTAAGATGCAATCCAGTCATCTTTTTTTTCAAATTAAAACGTAGGTTTAATGCAATTCCAACCAATATGCCAAAAGGATTATTTTGGAAACAGACTAAGTTATTTCAAGGTTATTCTAGAATAGGCAACAAGAAAGATGAATGTGGGAAGGGATGAAAGAGAATAGCAAGGGGAGTAAAATTATGTGATTAAGGAGGCATCAAGCATCATTAAGAAAGGAAATAATGGTGGAGAACTAGATATTTGGCAAAATGAACAGACAAAAACACCCAAAACAAAAAAGAAGCTAGGCTGGGTGCAGTGGCTCATGCCTGTAATCCCAGCACTTTGGGAGGCCGGGGCAGGTGGATCATGAGGTCAAGAGATCGAGACCAGCCTGGCCAACATGGTGAAACCCCATTTCTACTAAAAATACAAAAATAAAATTAGCCGGGTGTGGTGGTGTGTGCCTGTAATCCCAGCTACTCGGGCAGCTGAGGCAGCAGTATCGCTTGAATCCAGGAGCCAAGATCGCGCCACTGCACTCCAACCTGGCAACAGAGCAAGACTCCGTGTCAAAAAAAAAAAAAAGAAGCTAATTTAGATCCTTATCTAATAATATGTCTCTTCTCTGAATAAATTCTAGATGAATGAATCTAACACACCAAGAAAAACACAAAATCCCCACAAGAGAGAAGTGAATATTTAACAAACCTATGCCACTCCTCCCAATAAATTCTAGATGAATGAATCTAAAACACCAAGAAAAACACAAAACCCTCAGAAGAGAGAAGTGAATATTTAACAAACCCAGGGGTGAAGATTAAACTTAGAATTGGAAGAAACGAGGGAAAAAAAGTGATAGCTGACACTCTGTGTATGTGTATCCTCTGTATTTAAAAATAACACTAAAGGCCAACGAGGAAAATGTTTATGTTATGTCAAATTAATAGGAAAATAAGTACATCAAACCTAGTGCCTTCAAAAGACAACAGAACAGTGTGTTTAGAACTTCTGGGGTCCAGATCCCACCCCCTTTGCTTTTCCAAGTGAATACCTCTCCCCCGCAGTGGTTTACTCTCATCAACGTACATTCTAGTCTTTCACATTAAAATAAAAATAGCAAGAACCTGAGCCCCTCACCATGTCCTTCGTCAGCTACCAATCCAGTTCTCTATGAGATTGCTCATGATCACAGTAAAACTTCTCCGAAGTCTCCATCTCCACCTCCTCACCTCCCTTTCCTTTTCCACAGTACTTCAATCTGGCATCTCCCCACCACTCCATTCAAATGGCTCTCATCAAAACTCCAGTCTTCATCTCATGCCAGTTCTCAATCAGTGCCCAACACAGCCGCTCATCCCTACAAAACACTTCCTCCTTTGGCTTTCCTCCCTCCAGCCTCACTGGCTATTTTCTTCTTAGTTGCCTTTGTTGGTGTCTCCTGTATCAAAACTCCAAATCTGCACTATGCATAAGGTAGCCCACTAGTCAGGTCACTACAGAGTCCTTGAAACACGGTTAGTCTGTGAGATGTGCTGTAAAATTAAAATATCCATTCGACTTTGAAGATGAAGATTTTTTTGAAGACTTAGTATGTGTTCAAAGCATAGTGTTTTGCATAGACAGGGTTAAACAAAAGATATTAACTTCACCTGTTTCATTTTACGTTACTTTTAAGATGGCTAGAAAAAATGTAAGACTATATCTGTGGCTTGCATTAGATTTCTATTGGCTAGTGCTGTTCTAAATGTTGGCAGTGTCCTAGGGTTTGGTCTTGCTCCTCCTTAGCCTTGCCATCACAGTAAACAGTATCATTATCCATGCACTGGCTCATATTAGAGGCACCGAAAGTAGACAGTAGTATTTTCAGACAATGGGAGTGTCCACAGAGCAGGGTTCCCGGGGTTCCTGGACACTGGATTGCTTTGAGGAACTCAACTCTGCCCATTTATGGTTTTTAGTTTCTCCTCTGGAATGTACCTAAAGGAATTTAAGAAACCTCCATTTGGCTCTGTTGTTTTTCTCTTTTTTAAAGTCCACAGTTTGTAATGGTAAAGACTTAAGCAAGTTCCTGAACTCTTTCAGGCCCTAAAATTCATCATGTTTGAGGAGAATGCAAGCACTGTTTCTCTAAAGACGACTCATCTAACAAATATGCTGCCTCTGATCATGCCAGTTCCATCAATTCAACAGAGGGACTGAAATCTGGCACCAGGAGCTTTGCAACAAAATCTGTGCCACTTGTTAAAAGCGAAAGACTTGATTTCATCCATATCTTAAAAACAACAGGGTTTTAGAAAAGACATACATACAAGTCAAGATTCAATATTTAAACTTAAAACTCATGCAGTATCAAAACTACTAACCATTCTATAAGCACTCCTTTCAAGACGTTGACCATGTTTTCTCAGAAGGTTCAGATGACCTGAAGAATGCTAATAAAAAGAGTAAGGTAACATTAAATTAAAAATCATTAACTTTCATATACTTTGGGGATCTGCCTCTGAAACGAGGCAAAATAATTAAATGTCAATATTTAACAGTTAAGTCTATGAAAGACAGTTAACATTAAGAAAAAAGACATTCTGATTTTTTAACAAAATTAAAATGAGTCTACTTGGAATATTAATGCCACATCTTACTCGCCAGCCAATTCTACCCAAGGTCAATTAGCCCTAATAGAAGCAAGAGGCCTAACTCTACACCAGTGTGCCCAACCCAGGTATAAACCGTCCATTATTCAAAGGATTTCTTTTCCCATTCAGGAGAATGACAAAGGGTAAGATCCTGGGAGACAGGAATCAAAGAAGATAGTTCTGAAAGGTGCTTCAAAAATTATACAGTGAGCCCAACCACCTCCTTTTAGTTTATATTTTATTTTACTGAGACAGGGTCTGGCTCTGCCGCCCAGGCTGTAGTGCAGTGGCGCGATCTCTGCTCCCTGCAACCTCTTGCCTCCTGGGTTCAAGCGATCCTCCCACCTCAGCCTCCCGAGTAGCTGGGACTACAGGCATGCACTACTAAGCCCAGCTAATGTACTGTGTTGTATCGTGTGTGTGTGTGTGTATATATATACACACTTTTATATATAATATATAATATACAATATATAATATATAATATACAATATATTATATATAATATACAATATATTATATAATATATAATATACAATATATTATATAATATATAATATACAATATATTATATAATATATATTATATATTATATAATATACAATATATTATATGTAATATACAATATATGTAATATACAATATATTATATGTAATATACAATATATGTAATATACAATATATTATATATAATATACAATATATTATATATAATATACAGTATATTATATATAATATACTGTATATTATATATAATATACAATATATTATATAATATACAATATATTATATATAATATACAATATAATATATATAATATATAATATATATAATATACAATATATTATATATAATATATAATATACAATATAATATTATATATAATATATAATATACATATTATATATATGTATTATATATAATATACGTATTATATATAATATACATAATATACATATTATATATTATATATAAAATAAATATATATTATATATAAAATACATATATAATATATATATATGTATATATACACTTCGAGACAGAGTCTCACTCTGTCGCCCAGGCTGGAGCGCAGTGTCGTGATGTCGGCTCACTGCAACCTCTGCCTCCCGGGCTCAAGCGATTCTCCTGCCTCAGCCTCCCAAGCAGCGGGGACTACAGGCGCCCGCCACCACGCCAGGCCAAATTTTGTATTTTTAGTAGAGGCAGGGTTTCACCATGTTGGCCAGGCTGGTCTCGAACTCCTGATCTCAAATGATCCACCTACCTCGGCCTCCCAAAGTGCTGGGACAACAGGTGTGAGCCACCGCGCCAGGCCAATTTATTGTATTTTTAGTGGAGACGGGGTTTCACCATGTTGGCCAGGCTGGTCTCGAACTCCTGGCCTCAAGTGATTTGCCCGCCTCGGCCTCCCAATGTGCTGGGATTGCAGGCGTGAGCCACCGCGCCCGGCCTCAGCCACCTCATTTTACATATGAGGAGACCAAAGGAAGAGATTAAGCCGTAGTTCCTGGCCAAAGGAAAAAAGTACAAGCCAGATCTCCAGATCTTGTGCCCCTTCACTAAATAAATCACGTCCCGTGCGGACCTAGGCTGGAAACAAACCACTCAGCGTACGCCCATTTAATTAACTTCCACTTACACCTGGGCGCAGGGCGAGCCCTAGCCCCACAGGAAACCCACGATTAAACGAGGGGGGGACTGCCGTGCGGCCCCGCCAGGAAGGGCCCGGAGAGAGTGGGGGACACCGCCCTGTGCCCCCAGCACCCGGTGGACAGGCTTCTGGGGCTTTTCTCTTCCTCTCCCCTTTCTTTGGGACCCCTCAGTGTTCCCACACCCCACTTTCCCCAGCCGCTCGGACGCTCGCCACACACCTCGGCCCACAGATGCAGAAGCGCCTCGGCGTTGCCGGCAGAGTGCGCCTGCGCCGATACGCCATCGCGCTAGGGACGCTATTGTGGGTGGAGCCAGCCGGCGGGAGGCGGGCCCAGAGCGGGCCGAGGGGGCGGGGTCACGAGCCGCCAGCCGCCGGGTGGAGGGTCCCGGCCGGGAGCCGCGGAAAGAGTAGGGCTCCCCAGACAACGGGGTCCGACGAGCAGTTGGGCACGGGCTGAGTCCGCCTGCCGGCAGGTAGGACGTGAAGGCAGGGGTGGTGTGGGGGCGGACGGGGGCGTCGGCGCAGCTGGGCGCGGTGGGGAGCGGAGAATGGGGAGGGCAGGGACCGGGCACGGCCGAGCACCGCCGTCTGGCGCGCGGACCGGACCGACCAGCTGACGCTCGGCTGGGCGTGAGGGCCTCTCTCTCTGGTGGTCGCGAGCCTGACTCGTCTTTCCCTGTCGCTGCCTTTCTCTGGCTGCTGTCGAGGCCTTGGGGAGTGCACCTGCCGGTCCGTCTTCCCGGGCTCGGTAGTCACGGAGAGATGAGGAGGAGGAGGAAAGGGCCTCACCAGTCACTTCTGAGCCTTGCAGACCACCGCTTCCTGCTCCCTCTCTAACCCCAGAGATGGAATAGATTGAATGCTGAGAGAGCTCTAAACTCGGCAACGGTCATTTTAAAGTGAAAGACCCCAGAAGGTTCTAAAGTTACTCCCTTTCCCCAAGTCTGTTCTGTAAGTCTAAAGGAACACTGTCATTATTTTTACTAGTTGAGATATGAGATTCTTGTTTTCTGTTCCTTAGGTTAAATTGTACTTCCCGCATTAAGCTCATGCTGCCTTTTTTTTTTTTTTTTTTGAGATGGAGTCTCGGTCTGTCTGCCAGGCTGGAGTGCAGTGGCGCGATCTGGGCTCACTGCAACCTCCGTCTCCTGGGTTCAAGCAATTATCCTGCCTCATTCTCCCTAGTAACTGGGATTACAGGCGTGCGCTACCACGCCCGGCTGATTTTCGTATTTTTAGTAGACACGGGGTTTGTCCATGTTGGCCAGGCTGGTCTGGAATTCCTGACATCAGGTGATCCCCCGCCTCGGCCTCCCAGAGTGCTGCGATTACAGGTGTGAGCCACCGCGCCCGACCTCATGCTGCCTTTTTTTTTTTTTTTTTTTTTTTAACATCGTGTGTGTTCATGTGATCGCTAAGGAACCCAGCTCTTCCATTTAGTTCCCTCTTTCTATCCCTCAAATCTTTTCCAACTGGTGATTTCCATATTGTTGCACTCTCTTTAAAATAAAAAAATTGCCTCCAAGTCTTCTTCTTCCCAAGTATCTTTTATTTGCTTTTTTTCATCTTGCATACATTCTCTTCCTTGATCTCATCAGTTCCATTTTTGTGCACTTGATGTGTGTCAGCTATTATTCTAGACGCTTGGGATACAATGGTGAACAGGTAACTAATTTTGGTGGGGGCAGAGAGACTCTGAAATCAGTTAAGGAATAAGTACCATTTGGTGATGTGATAAAGAGTGACTAGAGGGGTTATTTTGGCCAGGGGGATGTCAGAAATGGCCTTAATTTCTGCATTTAAAAACTTCTGTATACCAGTAACAATTAACTAGGAGTTTTAATAATAAAAAGACACTATTCATAATGGCATTCAAAACTAAAGGTACCTAGAAATAGATGAACCTAAAGCTGTGTAGTCCTTTAGACAGAAAATTGTAAGGCTCTGTTGGAACACAAAAGATGACCCAAGTAAATGGTGAGATATACCGTATTAATAGATGGAAAGACTCAACAAAAAGATGTCAGTTTTCCTCAGTTCTACGAATTCAGTGTAATGCCAATTAAAATCACCATATTGTTTTATGGAATTTGCCATGCTGAACTTAAAATTTATATGGAAAGGCAAGGGACCAAGAATAGTGAAGTCAATTTTGAAGAAGAAGAAAAATAAGGTCTCTCCCTATCAGATACCAAAGCTTAATATAAAGTTGTAATTATTAAGATGGTATGATATTGATTCAGGGATAGAGAATTAGATTCATGGAACAGAATAGAGACACTAGAAACATACCTATTTACATACGGGAGTTTAGTATACCACTAAGTGGTATTGCAAAGCAGGGGGAAAGCATAGACTATTCAATAAAGGATGATGAAATATATGGTTGCTGAGATATCTGGCATTGTTATGGTATACAGACAGGATTAGATTCTTACTTTCAAACTATTGACAACAGTTTCCAGATAAAGACCTAAATGTGAATGGCACAGCTGCAAGGTATTTGGAAAGGAATATAAGAGACCATTGTCTCTAGGAAAGATTTCTTTTTTGTTTGCTTTGTTAAATCTTGTTACACATAAGATTTATCATGTTAACCATGTTGAGTTGTTGAGTTCAGTGACATTCACATTGTGCAACCAGCACTACTATCTATCTCCAGAACTTTTTTTTTAAATGTCTCTGAGAAGGATTTCTTAAGTTACAAAAAGCACCTTTGAGGTGTCATTTTATTACTCCAAATGAGAGATGATGTTGGCTTGAACTAGACAAGAGTGTAGCAGTGAATACAGAGAAAAATGGATGGATTTGGGGGTATGTTTTGATGGTAGAGAAGAGCAACTCTGCGTGGTTTAGATGTAGAGTAAGGGGAAAACAAGGAATCAAGGGCAACATCTGTTTTTTTGCTTCAGTTAAGAGGTAGATCATTTACCATTTACAATCAAAAAGCATTGACCATTTGATGGATAGTGATGGAGAAGATTTGTGGAGGAAGAGTTTGGGGAGAAAAAGTAAAGAATTCTCTTTTGGACAGTTGAGTATGAAAGGCCTGTTGGACATCCAAGTGGAAATGTTCCAATAGCTGTTGGATAGATAGGTCAGGAAAGATCGTAGCTAGAGGTACTCTGAGATCACTGGCATATAGATATTAAGAACTGGGCCGGGCACGGTGGCTCACGCTTGTAATCCCAGCACTTTGGTAGGCCGAGGCGGGTGGATCACGAGGTCAGGAGATTGAGACCATCCTGGATAACACGGTGAAACCCCGTCTGTACTAAAAATACAAAAAAATAGCTGGGCGTGGTGGCAGCCGCCTGTAGTCCCAGCTACTTGGGAGGCTGAGGCAGGAGAATGGTGTGAACCTGGGAGACGGAGTTTGCAGTGAGCCGAGATCGCGCCACTGCACTCCAGCCTGGGTGACAGAGTGAGAGACTCTGTCTCAAAAAAAAAACCAAAAAACAAAAAACTGTGGTGTGTTGGAATCAGCTGTGTTACACAGAAAACAAGATAATACTGGCTTAAATATGTATGTAATTGCATAGGTAGGCAGCCATGCTTTTATGGAAGCAGCTCTGTAATCATCAGGGACTCGGATTCTTCTATCTGGCTGCTCTACCGTCCTTAATAAGATGCTTGGTGTTAAGATGACTGCTTTAATTCAAACTGTCAGTTGCTCATTCTAGCAAGAGGGAGGAGGGAAGGAGGAAGAAAGGCACATACCCTTCTTTTTAAGGACACTTTTCAGAAATTGCACATGACACATCCACTCATATTTCATTAGCCAATTCTTTGTAAGTGCCCATAGTTAACTAGAAAGAAAGAAAGGTGATGTAGTCTTTTTTGTTGTCTGTGTACCTAGCTACAACTCACGTTTTATTAATCAGAATGAAAGCATGAAATGATGTTTCACTCTGGCTTCCTCCACCAGGGCAATGAAGCTACTGATATGAAGATCCCAGTGACCTCCATATTGTTAAACTTAATGGAATTTTCAAATATTTGTTTTATTTTTAAATTATAATCTCTTCCCTTTTATTTTCTGTGTCTTTCTTAGTCTCAAAATTTCTCCGTTCTCTACTTAAAATCAGTGTTTCAGATTTTATGTAATCACCGTCATAATATATATATATATTTTTTTGAGATGGAGTCTCGCTCTGTCGCCCAGGCTGGACTGCCGTGGCGCAATCTTTGCTCACTGCAAGCTGCACCTCCTAGTTTCACGCCATTCTCCTGCCTCAGCCTCCTGAGTAGCTGGGACTACAGGTGCCCGCCACCACACCCAGCTAATTTTTTGAATTTTTAGTAGAGATGGGGTTTCACCGGGTTATCCAGGCTGGTCTCGATCTCCTGACCTCGTGATCCTCCTGCCTCGGCCTCCCAAAGTGCTGGGATTACAGGCGTGAGCCACCGTGCCTGGCCCCATAATCTTAAAGGTGCTTTTAAATAGAAATTGACAAGCAGACTCTAAAATTATGTGGAAGTACCAAGGACCTAGAATAGTCCGTCTTGAAAAGGAAGGACACAGCTGGAAAATTTATACTACTAGCTTCAAGACTTACTTTAAAAACTACAGTAATCTGCCTGGTGCGGTGGCTCACACCTGTAATCCCAGCACTTTGGGAAGCCGAGGCGGGTGGATCACGAGGTCAAGAGTTCAAGACCAGCCTGGCCAAGATGGTGAAACCCTGTCTCTACCCAAAATACAAAAATTAGCCAGGTATGGTGGTGGGCATCTGTAATCCCAGCTACTTGGGAGGCTGAGGCAGGAGAATTGCTTGAACCTGGGAGGCGGAGGTTGCAGTGAGCTGAGATCAGGCCACTGCACTCCATCCTGCCTGGGCGACAGAGTGAGACTCTGTCAAAAAGAAAACAAAAAACAACAAAAAACCTACATAATCTAAACAGTGCAGTGTTTATATAAGGATAGATAAATAGATCGATGGAGTGGAATAGGTCCATACATATGTATTCCATTAGGGTTTTTTGTTTGTTTGTTTTGAGATGTGGGTCTCACTGTATTGCCTAGGCTGGTGTTGGGCTCCTGAGCTCCAGCAGTCCTCCTGCCTCAGGCTTCTGAGTAGCTGGTATTACAGGCATGTGCCGCAGATATAGTCAGTTGATTTGTGGTCTCAAGCAATCATCCCACCTTGGCCTCCCAAATCACTGGGATTATAGGCATGAGCCACCACACTTGGCCCTATGGTATACTTTTTATTGTTATTTTATAGTGTATTCATCTATTCCCTCTACTTATAAAAAAATAAAATTTACTGTAAAACAAGTTATGCTGGCAGCAACCTCATATATCTCGTGTAAAGGAAAGTTTAGAAGTTACATGTCAGCTTTTTGAGGCATTATAAACCATCCCAAAGGCTACGGGCTAAAACAAACATTTATTATTGCTTGCAGGCTAAGGACTGAATATGGATTTGTAGGGTCACCTAGGGGCTGGCTAGTTTGATGTGGCTTCACATGCCTGGCGGCTGTTGCTGGCTGTCAGTTGGTACTTGTTGGCTTCATTAATGGGGATATTGGACATTTCTCTTGTGATCCAGCAGACTAACCTAGGCATCTTTACATGGTGCTGGTCACAGGTTTCTCAAGAGCAAAAAGACAGGAGCCTCGATGTGCACGTACTTCCCAAGTCTCAGCTTGCATCATGCTTCTATTGTCCTATGGCCAAAGTTACTCGTAAGATCAATCTAAAGTCACCGTGGGAGGGGACTACCAAAGATCATGGTTATAGGAAAAGGAATAATTTGTGGCCATTAAAAAAAATCTGCATTTAAGACAAAAACTATGTGTAAAAAAAGCAGGCAAGTATGAAAGTGAGCCAACTGGAAGTTTTAGAAATAAAAGTTTTTGAAATACTCAGTGGATGGATCGAATGATAGTCTAAATACAACTAAACAGAAGGTGATGAATTGGAAGATAGATTTGGGGAAATTATAGTGCATGTCAGACAGATAGAAAAAAATGGAAGAAGTTGAGATTTGAAGGTTAGACTTTAAAAATCTAGCATACATCTAATAGGAGTATCAGAAGGTAAAAGTTGAATGGGGGTCAAAGTGGTAATTGTTAAGAATATTGCAGAATTGAAGAAAAATGTGAGTTCTAAGATCAAAGGAGCATACCAAATCTTGAGTGGGGTATATAAAAACAAACCCATACCCAGACATAAAGTAGAGAATTGTAAGAACATCAAAAAGATCTTAAAACTGCCAGATGGAATATAATATTGATAGTAATGATAAGTAGCATTTATTGAACACTTAATTTGGAATAGGCACTATTCTGTGTGTTTTACATATATTAACTCATGTGATATTTGTAACAACCCTTTACAGTAGTTCCCTTATTATCACCATTTTATAGATGAGGAAAGTGAGACACAGAGGTTAAATAGCCCATTATCATATGTCTAGTGTTTTCAAATGTACCTGGATTTTGTTTTAATCAGGAATGGTAAGAAGACAGACACAGAGACAACTGCCTTGAAAGAAGAGCTTATTATGTACAGTTCCCAAGGAAGAGTGGGCGTGCCACACCATGCAAGGCCACATGGGGAAGTACCAGGGTCATTCAGGAGGCATAAGGAGCAATGTGAAAGCATGGGCCAGAGCTTTCTTTTATTGTGTTTTTTTGTGGGAAGGAATGAACGTTTTTTTTGTGGGAAGGAATGAGCGAGACAGGGTAGACGAGCTGAACAAACTTAGGATTGGATAGTTCGAATAATTTGGCAGACCAGAGAGGTGGTCTCTAGCTGCCTAGTACCTGGCTCTGAGGAGATTTAGAGTAAGGGAAGCATTGGCTGTGTGTGGTGGTTGGGGGTATGCACCTGGGATTGGTTGGTTTGCATATGAGAAGCATGCTCACAGGCAGGTTGTTTGCTACCTCTAGCAGTTAGCTATCCCAGAGAGGGGCAGTCACTCCCTGGGTCCTTAAGGTCCTAAGATGTCAAAGCATTCTTAAAAAAAAAAAAAAAATTACTAATACAAGTTGTTTGTGGAATTGGATTTGAAACCAGGCAGTGTGGTCCTACAGAGCACATTCTTAAACTTCTTTGCTATTATTTTGCCTACAAAGAAACAACAGTTAGACTTAGATTTCTCCTGAGCAACAAGAAATATCAGTGAAAATACCATTAATGTACCAAAGGAAACCTACTGTTATTCTAAATTCTAAACCCAGAATTCCAAACCCAGCTATTACTATTTTTTTTTTTTTTTCTGAGACAGAGTCTTACTCTGTCTCCCAGGCTAAAGTGTAGTGCGTGATCATGGCTCACTGAAACCTCTGTCTCCCAGGCTCAAGCAATTCCTCTGCCTCAGCCTCCCGAGTAGCTGGGAATACAGGCACATGCCAACAGGCCCAGCTAATTTTTTAAATTTTTTTGGAGAGATGAAGTCTCACTGGTCTTGAACTCCTGGGCTGGCCTAGAGCTCCTGGGCTCAAGCAGTCTGCCCACCTTGGCCTCCAAGTGCTGGGATTGCAGGCATGAGTCACCACGCCTGGCCCAAACACAACTATTTTTTAGTATATCTAAAATAGAGCATTTTTAGACATGCTGAGAGTGAGAGTGCTAACTACATATATGCCTTCATGAAGGAACTATCAAAGGATATACCTTCATCAAGAATGATTTGAACCTAGGAGGAAGTTGTGGATGCAAGAAACAAAAGTAAGGAAGGAAACTGACAAAATGTTGGTAAATATTTAGGTTGACTGCTTTTAAAAATGACTTCTTTTGGGATGTTTAAAAATAAAATGGAATTAAAATACTAGACAAGATAGGAGAGGATCGTATTTAAAGCATTCTAATATTCTCATTTGGGAGGATAATTATATTGTTTAAATTCATACTATATAGCACATTTAAAATGTGGCTGTTTACTAAAGGAATAGAAATAAATTGTATAACTTTAAGCCAATTAAAGAGTAATAAAAAAATCCTGATCTATCCAACATGCGATAAATGTAAATGGATTAAATTCATCTATTCAAAGAGAGGTTTTGAAATTATAAATGATACCAAAAGATTATAACCATGATGGGAAAAGGTAAGATAGTTAAATACTTAGAAAACTGGCAAGGAACTTAAAGCAATAAATGTTAATAGGGATAAAGGAAGATAGTATGTGATGACAAAAGGAAAAAAGTACTAAGTTTCTAATAATCATTCATTTGTGTGCACCTGATGGCATATCTTTTCACATTATGACCCCCCAAAAAGGGTAGTATTTGTTTGCCACAGATTGGGGTGTTTTGCACTAGAGAGTCAGATCCATGAAAGCAAGGGCAGATTTTTCTTTTTCATTGTTAAATTGCTAGCATCTAGAACAGTTCTTCGTTCCTAGGGACTCAGATAAGTATTTGCTTAATGAATAAAAAAAAAAAGGACAACAAAAGGGGTAAATCGACAAGTGCGCAAATCAGTATGAAACTTTTAAAAAACCCCTCTCGTACTGGTAGATCATGCAGACAAAATTAGGAAGGCTGTTCAATGGCCGTTTGGAGCTGTGAAAAATAAATTAGCAGGACTATAGAAACAACAAAATTAACAAGCCTAGTATAATGGATATATTCTGCTCGCAACAAAGAATAAGCTTGTATGATATATTTATAAATATTGACTGGAATCAGGTAACAAAGCAAGTCTTCACAATTTTAAATAATCTATGTCACATAGCAGAATAAGATAATCTTTGCCTGTAATCCCAGCACTTCGGGAGGCCGAGGCGGGTGGATCACTTGAGGTCAGGAGTTCAAGACCAGCCTGGGTAATATGGTGAAACCCTGTCTCTACAAAAAATACAAAAAATTAGTTGAGTGTGGTGGTGGGCACCTGTAGTCCCAGCTGCTCGGTAGGCTGAGGTGGGAGGATTGCTTGAGCCTGAGAGGCAGAGGTTGCAGTGGGTGGTGATTGCACCATTGCACTCCAGCCTGGGTGACAGAGCCATACCCTGTTTCAAAAAAAAAAAAAAGATAATCTTAAAAAGTTTTATATATTTGGAAACTAAAAGCTACACTCTTAAACAGCTCACAGATTAGAGAAAAATTACAGTGGAATTTTAGAGGGATAATTTATAGTCTTTTTTTTTTTTTTTTGAAACCGGGTCTCACTCTTGCTGGAGACGACAGGCTGGAGTACAGTGGCGCAATCTCAGCTCACTGCAACCTCAGCGTCCCAGGTTCAAGCAATTCTCCCACCTCAGCCTCCCGAGTAGCTGGGACTACAGGAGTGCACCACCACACCTGGCTAATTCTTTTTGGTAGAGTCAGGGTTTCACTATGTTGGCCAGGCTGGTCTTGAACTCCTGAGCTCACGTGATCTGCCCACCTCAGCCTCCCAATGTGCTGGGATTATAATAATTTCTAGTGTTAAATGCATTTGTGAAAGAACAAGAAATGCTCATCTTAGGCATTATTGAAGAAGTTAGGAAAAGGACAGGATGCACCCAAAGAAAGAAAGAAGAAAATAATAAAAAGCAGAAATAGAAAACAAAACAAAAGAGAGAGGTACCTTCAAGGTACCTTCCTTCCTTTCCCTTATAGCAAAAGGAAAAAGAAAAAAAAACCTCACTATCCAAAGACAACCTGATATGGGTCTAGAATACTGAGTTGTGTTCTGGGAATGATTGCAGCATATGATCATCTTTACTCAGTTGATGAATTAGGTGGATGACAGCTCTCCTTTGATAGAATGCCAACAATGAACAAATTTCAAAAATTTTAAACAACGTGGGTACTATCCTGAAAGAACTAGAGAAAAGCTAAATGCTTCTATGGATTCTAAGTGTACCGTCCACATAGAGCTTCTCATTTCTGTGGGGACTTCAGTCATCAGAGATAAATACATATATACATATATTTTCAAAGACATTAAATTTTTTTCATGCCTATATTGGTATTCTGATTAATAGTCTGTCTATTCTTGTTACCGTTTAATTCTTGTGTTCTGGGAATGATTGTATCATATTTAGATCATCTTTCCAATTGTGAAAACTATGCACAATTGGACACAGTGTGAGGAAGAATAATGAAAATTCTAACAAAATATTATTCTAATAAGTCCCTTTTAAGTTTTTAATGGAGAATTTTTTTTTTAATTGGAAAGTTTTCTTCGTAGTCTTGAAAAAGCTAACTCTGTGGGTCATCCACTGTGATGGTAACATGTTCTTGTAGTTAAAACAAGTGTTTTGATTTAGATGCTAAATTAAATTTGTTGTAATTGTTCTACTTACACAGAATGTCCCTGGCTGCTTATTGCGTCATCTGTTGCAGAAGAATAGGAACCTCTACTTCCCCACCAAAAAGTGGCACACACTGGAGAGATATCAGTGAGTACAGCTTAAACAACTCTTATTTTCTTATAGGAACAGTGATAGAATTGTGGCCATTTCTAAGATGGGCCACAAAAACTTTTTGAACCCATGATTAAATCTCAAATTTGTTTATGTCTTTCTGTACTAATAGTTCACCCCAAATTTATAGGCCCAGAGCCATACATACTCCTTTTTCTTGAGAATTATTTTCCCTCTTCTACTTCTTCTGTCAAATTTCATACTCATCATCCTAAACTTAAATATAACTGCATTTTCATTCAGCAGATATTTATTAAGCTCTTGCAAAACAACACCCATATTAGGTTCTGGGAATACACTGGTGAGCAAGGAAGATGTTGTCTTTGCCTTACGGGGGCTCGGGATATGGCTCCAGTCTACTCCATTTGGAGCCTTGCCTTCGTTTAGGAAGCTTTCTCTGACACCCTAGGCCCGGTTGGATCTGTTACTTGTCATTTCATAGGGTCAGTATAGAACTTAATTATCTGTCTTTCCCCATATGCTGTAAACTCTGTGAAGGCAGTATTTTATCTTGTTTACCACTATAACCTAGTTATTTATCATGCATGGCATGTAGTAGGTGATCAAATAGTGTTTGTTGAATGGAAGAATAAAATAACTTACCTTTTCTGAGCATTATTTCCTTTATGTGTAAAATGAGAAGATTGGCGTAGAACATCTTTTATTCATTTGACAATAAACAAAATATTTAATTGACCATCTACTGTGTGCCAGGTACAATTCTAGGCCCTAAGAATACAATATTGAATAAAACAAAGTCCTTTTCCTCATGGAGTTTCTTTTTGATCTTTAAGAGAAATCTGTTTTTAGGGATAGATCATTTTCATCTAGAAAATTCTGATACTGTGTTTTAAATACAAAAAGAGAAGTGAGGACAAATGTCATTTTGGCAGCATGAGTTGAAGCTCTGAACAAAGGACTGTCTCAATACGTGCAATAAATTATAGGTTAAGGCTGGGTGCGGTGACTCATGCCTGTAATCCCAGCACTTTGGGAGGCTGAGGTGGGTGGATCACTTGAAGTCAGGAGTTCAAGACCAGCCTGGTCAACATGGTGAAACCCTGTCACTACTAAAAATACAAAAATTAGCTGGGTGTGGTGGTGGGCGCCTGTAATCCTAGCTCCTCAGGAAGCTGAGGCAGGAGGATCGCTTCAACCCAGGAGGTGGAGATTGCAGTGAGCTGAGATTGTGTCATTGCACTCCAGCCTGGGCAACAGAATGAAACTCTGTCTATACATATATATATATATAGTTTATATGTATTTATTATATATAAATATATTAATATTTATATAAATATATTAATATCTATATAAATATATTAATATTTATATAAATATATTAATATCTATATAAATATATTAATATCTATATAAATATATTAATATTTATTATATATAAAATATATTTATATAATATATTAATATATTATATAAATATATTATACATTTAAACATATATAATATATTTATTATATATAAAATATATTTATATATAAAAATAATATATTTATATATATATAAAGATTTTTGTGGGCTAGCCTCAGTACCTAATCATGAGTACCATCAGTTAAGGTTGTGCTCAGTGCATGTAACAGAAGCTTGAGTCCAGTGGCTTAAGTTAATATGATTTTCATTCTTCTTACATAATAATAAGCCAAGGTGGAGACAGTTTAGGGCAGGAATTACAGTTTAGCAATCTTCTTGTCTTCCTGTTCCATTCTCTTTATTGTCCTCATGGTCACAAGATGCTTGCTGAATCCTTGGGCATCAAGAAGCAGAGGGCCAAAAGCCATTTTGAGGCTTTGTCTTTTTATGTGGGGAGGGATCCATCTCTATAGACTTCCATCTATATCCGATTGGCTACAACTGTGTTACACTGTTAGCCCTAGCTACAGAGTTGTCTAGGAATTTGAATATTTTTGGGTGGTAATCAGGTTGTGTATTTGTAAGGATTAAAGGGCATGTGTATTGGACAGGCAATTATCAGTGTCTGCCATAGGAATTTTTTAATATTAAAAAAGTTTTCCAAGACCCAAACAAACATTTATAAATAAACTTGTAGAATATAATCTGTATTTTATTTTATTTATTTATTTTAAGATGGAGTCTTGCTCTGTCGACCAGGCTGGAGTGCAGTGGCACAATCTCGGCTCACTGCAACCTCTGCCTCCGTGGTTCAAGCGATTCTCCTGCCTTAGCCTCCCGAGCAGCTGGGATTACAGGCATGCGCCACCATGCCTGGATAATTTTTTTTTTAATATTTAGTAGAGATGGGATTTCACCATGTTGGCCAGGCTGGTCTCGAACTCCTGACCTCAGGTGATCCACTCGCCTTGGCCTCCCAAAGTGTTGGAACTACAGGCGTGAGCCACCGCACCCGGCCTAATCTCTATTTTAAATGGGGCTACGTACGTATGTACCTAACCATCAATTATAACATAATTACTTTAGAAAACATTCTTTTATGTCCCCACTTGACAATATAATCCTTCAGTATAGTCCTAGTAGTGATAGGGACAATGCTTCCCATTTCTTTCTTTAATGGGTTGTTAACTAAAAGGGGTCAGAAGGGAAGTGAGCTGCCTGCATGTTGCATTTGGTGGAAGCATTGTAGTCCTACTAGCATCAGTAGTGGAACAGGGACTAGGAGGTGGAGAAAGGGGAGGTATGAAATGTCATCAATATACATTATATTTGCACTTAGTACTTGTTGATTTGTGTGTTTGTGTCTAAGGATAGGAGACCATTTATTAATAGCAACTGATTATATTAATAGAAAAATAATAACTTCTTATCTGATAATATATGATATAGGTAGAGACTTACACTGTTGCCTATTTCCTTTCACACTTTTAAAAATGAAATTCATCACATTGACTTTTTTTCTTTTGAAGGAAATATAATAAAGTTTACTGGATCACTTATTTTAGGGTAAGTCGTCAACTGTGGAATATTAATTGGCTTCATTATACTCTATTGGAAATCTCAATGGCAGTGATTGACAGGTTGCATGAGGTCTTGAAAGGGTATAGATTTTGGAATTAGACTGGTGGATTTAATCACTGATCCCACCACTTAAATGTTGTCATGATGTGGTTTCCTTACTTTCTGAGGAGTGCTTTCTCTTGGAGCCAAATGTGTACTAGGAACTCTGCCTGCCAGGCACTGCTGCTGTGAGGAAAGCACTTTGACACACTTAAATCAGGCACTCACTTAGCTCTGACACACTTAAATCAGGCACTCACTCAGCTCCGGCAGGCTTAAATTGGGCACTCACTCAGCTCCGGCGCACTTAAATCAGGCACTCACTCAGCTCCGGCACACTTAAATCAGGCACTCACTCAGCTCCGGCACGCTTAAATCGGGCACTCACTCAGCTCTGACACAGTTAAATCGGGCACTCACTCAGCTCTGACACACTTAGGGTCACATCTGGTATTAGGTTCTAAAGTGGGTGAAAAAGGTACAAATTGACTATGGTCAAAAGTATTTTGGAAAATCCCTTAACTCACCATAAAGCTCGCATGAAAGGAAATTGAGGCTGACTGAGAAAACCAACAGATGGACGTCTCCTATCTGATGCTCCCTCAGGAGCATGTGTAATGAATGCAGTGACCCTCTTTCAGCAAATTGTTATTTTTCATACTCTTTTACTTTTTTTTAGGGGGAGGAATATATATGTAATACTATCGTACTGTATTTGTTAATACTTTTTACTAGTACAAATATAAAATTAACTCTCAGATGCCGAAATGATAAAAGAGATATATTTGGCATTTTATCCAAATGCATACATTTCTCCATGACATTGTAATGTAAGGCAAAATATATTTAGATAATTTTTCCCTTTGACTCATTCTGGGCAAAGCATAAATGTATATGGAACCTTTTCTGTAATGCAGTTTGTCTAGCTCACAATTATATTCAGGAATATAGTGAACATTAATTACAGTTTTTTATTATAGTAAAGAATTTTGTCTTTCATGGAAAACAGGATAAAAGTACTGAATACATTTACCCCTTTTGTTGGCTGTTCAGATACATCCCGAAGAGAGCAGAGGATTCTTTTTTTTTTTTTTTTTTTTTGAGACAGAGTTTTCCTCTGTCACCCAGGCTAGAGTGCAGTAGCGTGATCTCCACTCAGTGCAGCCTCTGCCCCCTGGGTTCAGGTGATCCTCCCACCTCAGCCTCCCAAATAGCTGGATCACAGGTGTGTACCACCACACCTGGCTGTTATTATTATTGTTATTATTATTATTATTTGTATTTGTATTTTTAGTAGAGACGGGGTCTTGCCATGTTGCCCAGGCTAGTCTTGAACTCCTGAGCTCAGGTGATCTGCCCGTCTTGGCCTTCCAAAGTGCTGGGATTACAGGCCTGAGCCACTGCCCTTGGCCGAGGGCAGAGGATTCTAAAGAGGCTTCTTTGTGTTCCTCTGGTGCTAGCTAGTATCTGGACTTTGTTTTACCTGCTTGCCTGAGGGTAGAAACCAAAGGTCAGAAGAAGGTGCTAAGCTCTGAATCCAGAGTGCAATCTTTGTGTCAGGATTTAGGGAGTGTGTAAGTCAATCTGATTAGGAAAAAAGAAATCTTCATTTTGAGATTCACAACAAACAACATTTAAAGTTAACTTCAGGTGTTGCTCTTAGGAAAGGAAAAGCTTTCATATGCTGATGATGGGAGTACACATTGGCTAATCTTTTTGCAAAAACGGTTTGTCATTCTCTAGTAAAATTGAATATGTATACTATCAGAAGGTATGTAATTCTAGATACCTGTACGTGTAGATAGAGGAACACGTACTGTATGCACAGTACAGATGTATAAGATATGTCACAGCATTGTTGTAACAGACTCAAACTAGAAACGTTCTCAATACCCATCTATGGGAGAGTGAATAAGTAAGTTGTAGTATATCCATGCAATGGATAATTGCATACTATACGAAAATCTAAGTGCGGGAACTACATTTTACATGCAACAACATGGATAACTCACAAATACAAGGCTGAGCAAAAGAATACATGTAGTGTGATTCCATTGATATGAATTTCAAAAACAGGCAAAACTAAGCTCTGTTGTTTAAGGATGCATATATAGGTGGTAAAACTGTAAAGAAAAGCACATTGTTATAATAAAAATCAGAATCATATATAGAGATGAGAACAGATCATTATCCGGGAGGGACACATTGTGGGTTTCTGGGGTTCTGTTAACATTCTGTTTCTTGCCTGGATATGATTATGCAGCTATTTATTATTTGTAAGCCGAAATGTGTATATACATGTATATGTATATATACAGTCATGTGTCAATAATGGCGATACATTCTGAGTAATGTGTTGTTAGGTGATTTCATTGTTGTGCAATCATCACAGAGTGCACTTGCACAGACCTGGGTGGCAGAGCCTACTCCACACCTAGGCTGTATGGGACAGCCTGTTGCTCCTAGGCTCCAAACCTGTGCAGCCATGTGACTGTGCTGAACACGGTAGGCTATTATAACACAATGGGAAGTATTTGTGTACCTAAACGTATCCAAACAAAAAAAGGTACAGTAAATAAAATTTTAAAATGGTACACTTATATAGGGCACTTACCATGAGTGGAGCTTACAGGACCTGGAGTTGCTCTGGGTGAGTGAGAGTGAGGGCCTAGGACATTACTGCACACTACTATAGACTTTATCAACACTGTGTACTTAGGCTACATTACACTTTTTTTTTTTTCGGAGATGGAGTCTTGCTCCGTCGCCCTGGCTGGAGTGTAGTGGCATGATCTCGTCTCACTACAACCTCTGCCTCCTCGGTTCAAGCAATTCTCCTGTCTCAGCCTCCTGAGTAGCTGGGATTACAGGCGCCCGCCACCATGCCTGGCTAAGTTTTGTATTTTTAGTAGAGCCTTGGTTTTGCCATGTTGGCCAGGCCGGTCTTGAATTCCTGACCTCGGGTGATCCGCCCGCCTCGGCCTCCCAGAGTGTTGAGATTACAGGTGTGAGCCACTGTGCCTGGCTGAACTTTGTGTTTTCTTTAAAGGCAGAGTCTCACTGTGTTTTGCCTAGGCTGGCCTTGAACTCCTGGATGCAAGTGATCCTCCTGCCTCAGCCTTCTAACTAGCTGGTACTACAGGCATGCACCACTGCACCCAGCTACACTATATTTATAAAACAATATTTTTTTCTTCAATAATTAACCTAGCTGGATGTAGTGGTGTGGGCCTGTAGTCTCAGCTATTCGGGAGGCTGAGGCAGGAGGATGACATGACCCCAGAAGTTTGAGGCCAGCCTGGGCAACGTGGTTGAGACCCTGTCTCTAAATATAAATAAAGTCCTGGCTTTAATAATTAACCTCAGCTTACTGTATTTTTTTTTTTTAACTTATGAACTTAAATTTTTGAAAAACTTTTTGACTTTTGTAATTACACTTAGCTTAAAACACAAACACGTTGTATAGCTATACAAAAATATTTTCTTTCTTTATGTCTTTATTCTATAAACTTTTGTCTGTTAAAAAATATTTTCGAGGCCGGGCGCGGCAGCTCACGCCTGTAATCCCAGCACTTTGGGAGGCCGAGGTGGGTGGATCACAAGGTCAGGAGATTGAGACCATCCTGGCTAACATGGCGAAACCCCATCTCTACTAAAAATACAAAAACAAAATTACCCGGGCGTGGTGGCAGGCGCCTGTAGTCCCAGCTACTTGGGAGGCTGAGGTGAGAGAATGGCGTGAACCCAGGAGGTAGAGCTTGCGGTGAGCCGAGATTGTGCCACTGCACTTCAACCTGGGTGACAGAGTGAGACTCCACCTCAAAAAAAAAAATCTTTTTGAGACGAGGTCTTGCTCTGTCGCCCAGGCTGGAGAGCAGCGGCTACTCGTGGGTACAGTCATAGCATGCCGCAGGCTTGAACTCCTGGGCTCAAGGGATCCTTCTGCTTTAGCCTCCCGAATAGCTGAGACTACGTGCCTTGCTACTGTGCCAGCAAAATTTTTTTTTTTAACTTTTTAAATGTTTTTGTTAAAAATGAAACACAAACCCATTAGCCTAGGCCTACACAGGGTCAGGATCATCCATATCACTGTCTCCACCTCCGCATCTTGTCCCACTGTGAGGTCTTCAGGGGCAGTGACATGCATGGAGCTGTCATCTCCTGTGATAACAACACTTTCTTCTGGATGCCTCCTGATGGACCTGCCCTAGGCATTTTACAGGTAGGTAGAAGGAGTACACTCTGAAATAGCAATAAAAGTATACTATAGTGAATACATAAATCAGTAACATTTATTATTATCAAGTATTATGTACTATACGTAATTGTATGAGCTAGACTTTTATAGGACGGGCAGCACAGTAGATTTGTTTACACAGCATCACCACAAACGTGAGTAATGTGTTACGATGGCTACTCAGTCACTAGGAGACAGGAATTTTTTAGCTCCATTATAATCTTATGAGACCACTATCGTATATGAGGTCTGTCCTTGAACAAAAAGTCAGTATGTGATACATGACTGTATAAATGTTATATGCATATTACTGTATACATGTTATGTTTCCCAACAAAAAAGAAGTTTACTATGACAAGCTTAATAGAGAAGAGTAGCTCTTGTGTTACATTTTGATTGTCTATTTATGATGCATTTTTTCTTTTCTCTTTAAGAGGTTCTTTATTTCTTACATATGAAGTTCTGGCCCTGAAGAAGGCTGTGACATTAGATACTCAAGTGGTAGAACGAGAAAAAATGAAGTCATATATATATGTGCACACAGTTTCTTTAGACAAAGGAGAAAATCATGGTAAGTTTATTGTAAAGTAATCCTCTGTGAAAAATGGAAGCTAGTTATTGCATTTAAAAATGCGTCTATTTAAAACACAGTATTAGTAATACAGATTGAGCTAATTCTAAGAATCACCAAACCCCGTGAAAACCAAGTTCCTGAAGAATTAATTGAGGACCAAAGTTTAGGCTTCCGTATTTAATCCAGGTTTGCAACTCTCCTAAAATTAAGTGAAGACTAACTGGCATTTTTAGTCTGAACCTGGAATTCCACATCTTAGTGGGGCTGTCAATACAGAGGCTGGCTCTCAGTTTGGCAAGTACAAAAAACATGATTTTGTAATTTAGCTCAGTGATATTTCTACTTTAAGGGATGTATTCATGCAAACCAAACTCATGAGATATATTCATAAATATGAATGCCAACTCATTTATTATAATTATCTGTCACCAAGGCTAGAAAACCTGTCTTTACTAGTTAGGACACTCCACTTCTCAATATTTAGGACACATGGAAGCCCTCATTAGCGATCATATGGTTGCATGGGAACGTGAACTTTTAGAGCAGAGGAGTATATTTTCCTCAACATATGGATAGCATGGTGAGTCACATACTTGACTCACAGCTGCCTGTTCATACACTGTTAGCTAGAATGTGCCAGTTAACATGATGTTCCTCAAGTGAGGCAGGCTCTGCTGCTCGCCTGTGTCTGTCACCTTGCTGCCCTGTTGCTATTTGTTATTATATCATTTTGTGTATTTCAACATGCTTTTATGGTATGTTTACAATTTCAGTTACATAGATGATTGTTGTTGCTTATAATATACCTGTATATTGAGACTTAATCTCTTTAATAAAGTATCTCCAAACTTCAGTTTGAGGCGAGCTCATCATGAGGGACATTTTCCTGGATATTGCAAAACCTATGTTGTATATGAGGATTTTCATTAGCTTTAGTTAGTATTTTTGTAGTTAGTGTTTTTGTTTTTACTTTTCCCTGACTTGGAGAGCAATCTTATTTTGGAATTGAGAGCTCTGTGTTTCCATAATGGTTTTAGTTGCATCGATAGTGACAATAAAAAGACAACAGTGTTATTTTGTATTTTCTTTGTGAAAAAATATGGAGTTTATACATATCTCTTTGAAACGTTGGAGCATAGTGTTAAGAATACATTCTTGGGCCGGGTGTGATGGCTCACGCCTGTAATCCCAGCACTTTGGGAGGCCGAGGAGGGCGGATCATGAGGTCAGGAGATCAAGACCATCCTGGCTAACAAGGTGAAACCCTGTCTCTACTAAAAATACAAAAAAATTAGCCAGGCGTGGTGGCGAGGGCCTGTAGTCCCAGCTACTCGGGAGGCTGTGAAGCAGGAGAATGGGGTGAACCCGGGAGGCAGAGCTTGCAGTGAGCCGAGATTGTGCCACTGCACTCCAACCTGGGCGACAGAGTAAGATTCCATCTCAAAAGAAAAAAAAAATACATTCTTGGTTTTACTTAATTTTATAATCATTTTAGGTATTGCCTGGCAGGCAAGAAAAGAACTTCACAAAGCAGTAAGAAAAGTATTGGCAACATCAGCCAAGATACTGCGGAATCCATTTGCTGGTAAATATCCACTATATGACTTGGAATCCTTATCAGTAATCTGAAAGTCATTGGAATGATCAACCTGATACTTTTTTTCATTTCTTATACTAATATTTTTTATAGCTATGGAAAATTAATCAGGCCAGGTATGGTGGCTCACGCTTGTAATCCAAGCACTTTGGGAGGCTGAGGTGGGTGGGTCACCTGAGGTCAGGAGTTTGAAACCAGCCTGGCTAACATGGTGAAACCCTGTCTCTACTAAAAATACAAAAATTAGCCAGGTGTGGTGGTGGGTGCCTGTAATCCCAGCTACTCGGAAGGCTGAGGCAGGAGAATGACTTGAACTCAGGAGGCAGAGGTTGCAATGAGCCAAGATCATGCCACTGCACTCCAGCCTGGGTGACAGAGTGAGACTCTGTCTCAAAAAAAAAGCAAAGTAATTAACATTATTCTCTTGGACTGTATTTAATTTTAAGGGCTTAATGCTTTTGACAATTTTCTTCCTTCCTTAGGTAATTGTGAATAAATATGGAGATAAAATATACCCTATTCTCTTGATAAGTGTTTTATAATTTTAAATTTGTTAGAAAATCACTCCCATGCCTTCATAATGAGCATAGTATATCCAATATCATAGATTTCACAATCAGGTTAATCTACAGTGTGGAGCTAGATACAAAAGGGCTTATCTGATCTCCTTAAAAAGTTGGCATCGTGAAAATAAAAGGTGGGAAGACTTTCTATAATTGAAAGAGACTATTAAATCTTGGTTTTAAAAAACAGCTTTAAATATATTTTTTTGAAAAATTGGGGAAGCTTGAATATGGAATTAGACTGAATTTTAGATGATTTGGGAAGATTTTTGTTAGTGTTTTTGGGTGTGATAATAGCATTGTGGTTATTTAAGAGAATGCAGGATTGTTCTTAGGAGATGCAGGTTGAACTGTGAAAGGCTGAAATGTCATTTTGTCTACATCATCCTTTCAAATAGTTTGGGAAAAATTACATGTGAATATAGATGAAGAAAATACGGTAAAATAATAACAGTTATTGAATCTAGATGTGATGTATGGATGTTATTCTTTTTTTTTTTTTTTTTTTTTTTTTTTTTTTTGAGACAGAGCCTTCTCTGTCACCCAGGCTGGAGTGCAGTGGCGCGATCTCTGCTCACTGCAAGCTCTGCCTCCCGGGTTCACGCCATTCTCCTGCCTCAGCCTCCCGAGTAGCTGGGACTGCAGGCGCCCGCCACCACACCCAGCTAATTTTTTTTTTTTTTTTGTATTTTTAGTAGAGACAGGGTTTCACCGTGTTAGCCAGGATGGTCTGGATCTCCTGACCTCGTGATCCGCCTGCCTCGGCCTCCCAAAGTGCTGGGATTACAGGTGTGAGCCACCTCGCCCAGCCTATGTTAACTTATTAATTTCTTTCATATATTTGATCTTTTTGAAAAAGTTTTGGGGAGAAAAAGATTTTAAAAATGACCACATATGAAAGACACCAGAATATACAAAACAAAAGCACACACATTGAGCCTGGGCAATTTCTTGAGTCCCTGTCTCTAGAAAAAAAAAAAAAGATTAGCTGGGCCTGATGGTATACCCCTGTGATCTCAGCTACTCAGGAGGCTGAGGTGGGAGGATTGTTTGAGCCCAAGAGGTCGAAGCTGCAGTGAGCCACGATTGTGTCACTGCACTCCAGCCTGGGTAACAGAGCGAGACTGTCTCAAAAAACAAAACAAAACTGACCCCTGCCCCCCCATCCAAAAAAAAGCACACACAGTATTCATAATAACTGTAAAAGATAATATGACAGAATTGAGAACAAATAATATTAGTTTTTATCAATACCTATATATATGGATTTAACTCTCCAATTGTAGATTTCAGTGTTTATAAATTACCATCTTAAAGTGAAGATAAAAGTATTATCTTAACTTTTCACATTGTCTTGGCTTTTTCTTTTTGCAAAGATCCTTTTAGTACAGTTGATATAGAAGATCATGAGTGTGCTGTGTGGCTGCTCCTACGGAAGAGCAAGTCAGATGACAAAACCACGCGACTCGAGGCTGTGCGGGAAATGTCGGAGACCCATCACTGGCATGGTAATGAGACTACCTGAACAGGTGGCATGCCTTCAGCTGGCTCTTGATTGCTGACATAAAAGACAAGGGAGTGGCCAGGTGCGGTGGCTCACGCCTGTAATCCCAGCACTTTGGGAGGCCACGCTGGTTGGATCACAAGGTCAGGAGTTCAAGACCCACCCTGGCTAACATGGTGAAACCCCGTCTCTACTAAAAATACAAAAAAATTAGCCAGGCATGGTGGCGGGCGTCTGTAGTCCCAGCTACTCGAGAGGCTGAAGCAGGAGAATGGCGTGAACCCAGGAGGCAGAGCTTGCAGTGAGCCGAGATTGCGCCACTGCACTCCAGCCTGGGCAACAGAGCGAGACTCCATCTCAAAAAAAAAAAAAAAAAAAAAAAAAAAAGACAAGGGAGTGGGAGTGAGATTCAGGAAGGAAAATAATTCAGGCAGTGTTAGTATATATAGAAAGTATTTGAAAAATTTTAAGAAGCTTCAGTGATACGGAAAGTAGAAAGCCTGCTGAACTGGTAGTCAAATGTGTTTGGTAAGAATAAGCTCAAAAATGAGGTATATATATTTGTGTAACTTTCTACCAGAACAAAGTTTTATTTGGTTACATACTTCTTTGAGAGCAACTCTTGATTCTGATAGTTACCTAATGTACTTGAGTTTTCTTTTGGTTTCTATTTAATGAAGTACATTTAATTGCTTGCTACACCATACAATTATGTTTGCTTTTACTTTTACAATCTACTTGGCTCTAATACTAATAGTCGAATGTACCCAATTTGTATTTGTGTATATCATTTTTAATGGACTATTTGAAATATGTAATTGTGTTTAAAAATCACAAATTTTACAATAAAAATATTTTTAAAAGAACTCATATCTTCTCTGGTTATAGTACATGGATAAAACTATAATTTGTTAGTAGAGCTGTCTTGTAAAAATGGGAAAAGTAGAAAAAAATAATTTTCTCAGCCAGGCATGGTGGCTCACACCTGTAATCCCAGCACTTTGGGAGGCTGAGGAAGGCGGGTCACTTGAGGCCAGGAGTTCAAGACCAGCCTGGCTAACATGGCAAAACCCTGTCTCTACTAAAAAAATAGAAAAAATTTAGCTGGGCATGGTGACGTGTGCTTGTAATCTCAGCTACTTGGGAGGCTGAGGCACAAGAATTGCGAACCCACGAGGTGGAGTTGTTAGTGAGCCAAGATTGTACCACTCCACTCCAGCCTGGACAACAGAGCAAAACTGTCTCAAAAAAAAAAAAAAAAAAGAAAAATTCTCAAAGAAAAGTTAAGCTCAGAATGAGATCTCTGCAAATTAATTTGTTAATTGGTTGGTGGCTATAATTATAATTTATAATGTAAGTATAAGCTTACTTAATGTTGGTGGAGATTTAGAATAGAAATATTTTTCAAAATTTGCCTTCCAGGGCTCCATTCCAGACTTATTGTATCAGAGAAATCAGAGGAAGTGCCCTGGCCCACAGATTTTGGAAAAGTTCCCCACTTGATCCAGAAGTACTCACCCAGGTTATTATTATTATTGTTTTTTGAGACAGTCTTGTTCTGTCACCCAGGCTGAAGTATAGTGGTGTGACCTTGGCTCACTACAACCTCCGTCTCCTGGGTTCAAGCTATTTTCCTGCCTCAGCCTCCCGAATAGCTGGGGTTACAGGTGCCTGCCACCACGCCTGGCTAATTTTTGTATTTTTAGTAGAGACAGGGTTTCACCATGTTGGCCAGGCTGGTCTTGAACTCCTGACCTCAAATGATCCGCCCGCCTCGGCTTCCCAAAGTGCTGGTATTACAGGCCTGAACCATGGCGACTGGCCAACCCCAGGTTATAAACTGCCATTATTGAAAATAATGTTTGCTTTCATGGTTGGAATTTTGTTTTTGATATATAAAGAATGGCATGTTTAATTCAAAGTACTGCTATCTGGAACTGCAGACTAAATATTCATGGACACTATGAATACCAAAGCACCATATCATCACCACGGAGCAGTAGGCTTAAATGCCACCTCATGTGTTTTGAGTAGTGGTCAGAACATCTTTTGAATGCTGGAATTGTTTTAAAAAGAAGTTAAATTGGTTCTGACTTACCAGTTTCCACCTTTGAGCTTCCTTTTTTCCAAAAAGTTAGGCTGTGACCCGGTCTCCATATATATGTTGAGGAGAATTGTGAGATCAGTCCTGGAAACGTATCTAGCTTATAGGTGTTGTAAATGTAGTTGCACTTGGGAAATTTTGGATTACAAATTTGCAGAGCAGTTTAAAAATTAGAGTGCTTTCAAGTTGTTTGTTCAGTTAATCTTTATGACATCTGTCAGCTAGTTTTGGTATTAACAAAAGAAAATGCTTTTTCAATAGATTACCAGTATAGGATAATTGCTCAAGCCTGTGATCCGAAAACTCTTATTGGTTTGGCACGAAGCGAAGAGAGTGATCTTCGCTTTTTTCTCCTACCACCTCCTTTGCCATCTTTAAAAGAAGTAAGTAAAACAATAATAATAGTAATTTAGAGAGTGAAAAATGGTTTAATATATTATCTTCACTTGGGGTACAAAACACTTTAAAAAAGTAGTTGTTGGCTACTTCTCACAAGCAGATAAACTGGAATGTAAAACTGAAATCATAGTTTTTATACAAAGATTTGGTTCCTCAGGAGGGGCTGTTCCTTCTATATTATTTTCTGCCTTTGGGAATTTGGAGTCTCTATAAACCATTGGGTGACATGCCATAGCATATCAGCATCCATGAGTTGGTCCCTTCTGAGTTTCTGTAGGTCAGGTTTTCTCAGCCTCAACACTATTGACATTTTGGGCCAGATAATCCTTTGTGGTAGGAAGCTGTTGTGTAAATTGTAGGGTGTGTAGTAGCATCCCTGGACTCTACTCCCAAGATGCTAGTAGCACCCCCTAGTTGTAACAACCAAAAATGACCCCAGACGTTGCCAGATGTTTCTGGGGCAAAACAGGCCCTGGTTGAGAAACACTGCCATAGATTTAAAGCATGTTTCTTGAGTATCTTTCCTAGACTAGAAAATGAAACTCTTAAAACTTCTGTGTTAGCAGCTTTTTGAAAAATAGAAAAATGAACATACTAGATATTAATTATTAGAGAAAATGAGATAGTAACAAGTTCTGGATTTAAAAAGCAGTAGCTTTAATTAGTAAGGGTGCAATAATTCATTTTGAGTCAAGATGTTGAGAATGTCAAGATGTCAGATGAACATTGAGAGTTAAAGTTTACAATAGGTCTGTCAGTTTGAAGTAGCAGACATGAAAGTATAGAATTCAAAATTAAATGATTGTTTATTTACCTGGGTGGGTGACTGTTTTCAAGACTGAAAGCAGTAATTAATCTCTGATATCTCTTTCCCTAGATCTCTATATCATATATATATGTGTGTGTGTATATATATATATATATATATATATATAGAGAGAGAGAGAGAGAGAGAGAGAGAGAGAGAGAGAGAGAGACATGCACACATAATATATGGCTTTGATATATATGGCAAATATTGGCTTTGAGTCTTTGGATATTTTTTGTTGTACTCAGTTGTTGAGTATTTATGAAGAATTTCCTTTCCTTTTATTTCAGGATTCTTCCACTGAAGAAGAGCTCAGACAGTTGCTGGCTTCCTTACCTCAAACAGAGCTAGATGAGTGTATCCAGTATTTTACATCTTTGGCTCTTAGTGAAAGCAGTCAGAGTCTAGCTGCTCAGAAGGTTAGTTCATGTATTCATTCAGTAAATATTTTTGAGTGTCCACCCTTTCCAATGTATTGTGTCAGTGGCTGGCATTCACCCAGTAACTGAGTAAACATGCTAACTTCTGGTTGTGTGTCATGCCCTGGGCTGGATGTCAGGGATGACAGGGAGGCAGGTAAATGAACAGTCACAGAGTGTGTAAGAGAGATAAAGGTGATTTCAGGAGCCCTTCACTATGCTTAAGAGGTCATTTACAGCTTCACAGGAGGTAACTCTTAAATTTTATCTTAAAGAATGAGGGCCGGGCGCAGTGGCTCATGCCTGTGGTCCCAGCACGTTGGGAGGCCGAGGTGGGTGGATCACGAGGTCAAGAGATTGAGACCATCCTGGCCAACGTGGTGAAACCCCATCTCTACTAAAAATACAAAAATTAGCTGGGCGTGGTGGCACATGCCCATAGTCCCAGCTACTCGGGAGGCTGAGGCAGGAGAATCGCTTGAACCCGGGAGGCGGAGGTTGCAGTGAGCCGAGACTGTGCCACTGCACTCCAGCCTGGTGACAGAGCGAGACTCCGCCTCAAAAAAAAAAAAAAGAATGAATAGGGCTGAGGGCAGTGGCTCACAACTGTAATCCCAGTGCCCAGTGCTTTGTGAGGCTGAGGCAGGAGGATTGCCTGAGGCCAGGAGTTTGAGACCAGCTTGGGCAACACAGTGCGACCCCCGTCTCTTTAAAACATTAAAAAAAAATTAGCTGGACATGGTAGCATGTGCCTGTAGTTCCAGCTGTTTGAGAGGCTGAGCTGGGAGGATTGCTTGAGCCCAGGAGACTGAGGCTTCAGTGAGCTGTGATTGTGCCACTGCACTCCAGCCTGGGCAACAGCATGAGACCCTGTCTCAAAAAAAAAAAGAAAAGAAAAAGTAAAAGGCTATCAGTGAATACTGAATTCTGATATTCTTGGGGTGTTATGTCAGCGAGTTTTTCTTTATAAAAATCTCATATCTCTAAGAGAAATCAGAACGAATAACCACCATTATTAACTGCAATAACTATGTAATCTCAATGAGAGGAACGTATTTTGTCAGTAAAAAAAAAAAAATCAGTGTTTTATATTCTTTGACCAATTAAATGCGTTTTCTCATTTTTCCCTTTTGTGAGAAATTAGGGATGCATCAGTAGAAATGACTTGTCTAGTATACTTTACATAATTTCCCCTTTTGGGCCATGTCTTGGAATTGCTCCAGTGAATTATAATGGTTTTTCTTTTTGATGCTGAGAGTTCTGTCGTCTGGCCTCTATAGCCCTTTCTGTATGCTGACCTTCTTATGCTTTTAAATTCTGTTCCCAAAGTGGCTGGAAGGTGCCATGGTTTTTTGACAAGGTATCCCTGGCTCTTTTTGATTCTTCCTGCCCTACAAGATTTGGCCGCTTCTCCAAGGAGATCTGGTTCTTCTTACAGGAAAAGGTTAAGAGTCCAAAACCCAGGCACTAGGTGTGCATAGTAGTTCTTCATGAAGGTAGAGCTGGTGGACCCTGGGGGCTCCTAGACACCTAAGTGACGGAGCAGAACAATTACCTTTTTCTTAAAAGGTCTTAAATTTATGGTGATATTTCCAATTCAACTAGTTTTCTTTTTAATCCACATACCATAAAACCCTTTAAGACTATACAATTCATTGGGTTTTAATATACTCATAGAGTTGTATAATCATTACTCCAATCTAATTCCAGAATATTTTCACCATCCCCCAAAGAAACCCTGTAACCATTAGCTGTCACCACTCATTCCCCTCTCCAGCCCCTGGTAACCACTGATCTATTTTTCCTATGGATTGGCCTGTTCTGGACATTTCGTATGAATGGAATCATCCAATATGTGGCCTTTTGTGTCTGACTTCCTTCACTTAGCATAATGTTTTCAAGGCTCAGCCACACTGTGGCATATCAGTGCTTCATTCCTTTTTATGGCCAAGTAATAGTCCATTGTATGGCTATGCCGCATTTTATTTATCTGTTCATCAGTGATGGACATTTGGGTCATTCCTATTCTTTGGCTGTTATGTATGAATAATACTTCTATGAACATTCTATTGTTTGGCTATTATGTATGAATAATACTGCTATGAACATTTCTCATTGGAAAAAAAAACTGTACTGTACAAGATAGGAAAAAAGCAAAGCATTTTTCCTACTTTCTCACACCACTTAACACTTCTGACACCAGGAGTGTGGAGGGTTTTTCCCTACACACTCAGCAATTCTCCATCAAACATCAGCTCAGTGTCCTTCAATTTAGTTCAGTTCTGACATCTCTACCTAGAGATGGTGTCAGAGCCCATAGGTTAAGGGCTCTGTCCCACAGGACTGCCCCCCACTTCAGATACCAGTCACAAGTTCCAGGTGTGACCTGTGCTTCTGATCAACCAGCCATAAACTGGGAGTGCCCATGACCCCCACCTTGGGTTTGATTAATTTACTGGGACGACTCATGGAATTCAGAAAAACACCTTACTTATGCTTACCGTTTATTATAAAGGATATGACAGAGGAGAGGGATGGACAGCAGATGGAAGACATGCGTAGGGCAAGCTATGTAGGAAGGGGCGCTGAGCCTTCATGCCCCTCCGGGTGCATCACCCTCCAGACATCTCCACGGGTTCCGGTATCCAGAAACTTTCTGAACCCTGTCCTTCAGATTTTCATGGTTTTAATCAGTTGGCATGATTGATTGACTCATTGACCTTTGGTGATCACCTCAACCTTCAGGCCCTCTGTCCTCCCTAGAGGTTGAGTAGGGCAGAAAGTCCCTACCATCTAATCATGCCCTTAGTCTTTCTGGCCACCAGCCCCCTTCCTGAAACTATTTAGGGGCCCTCCGTCCACCAGTCATCTCATTAGCATACAAAAGACACTCATCACTCTGGAGGGAACCAGGGGTAGAGACCAAATACGTATTTCTTATTAGATCTCAATATCAACATTTATGTGCATGTCTTTGTGTGGATGTATGTGTTCAGTTTTCTTGAGTATATACCTAGGAGTGGAATTTCTGGGTGTTATGGTAAGTAACTTTTTGAGTAACTTTCAAATGTTTTCCACAGAGACTTTACCATTTTACATTCCCACCAGCAATATATGTTATTGTCCATCTTTTATTCTAGCCATCCCATTGTGTGTGAAGTAGTATCTTCATTCTGGCTTTGATTTGCATTTCCTAATGCTTAATGATGTTGGGCATCTTTTCACGTGCTGTTGGCACTTACATATCTTCTTTGGAGAAATACCTATTCAAATCCTTGGCCCAATTTTTTTTTAACTAGTGATTTTGTTTTTGTTTTTGAGATGAGGTCTCACTGTGTTGCCCAGGCTGGAATGCAGTAGCTATTCACAGGCAAAATCATAACATGCCCTACAGCCTTGAACTCCTGGGCTCAAGTGATCCTCCCACCTCAGCCTCCTGAATAGCTGAGGCTACAGGTGTGAGCCACCATGGCTCCCTTTGCTCATTTTAAAATTGGGTTACTTGTCCTTTTTGAAGCATCTTTTCATGTTGCAGCACCCAATTTAAAAATGGACTTTTTTTGTTGTTGTTGTTGAATTGTAAGAGTTCTTGATATATTCTAGATACAAATCTCTTATTAGATATGTTGAATTGTAAGAGTTGAAATTTTTTGTTGAGTTGTAAGAGTTCTTTATATTGTTGAATTGTAAGAATTCTTTATATTGATGAATTGTAAGAACTCTTTGTATATTCTGGATACAAATCTCTTATTAGATATGTAATTTGCAGATATTTCTCCCATTCTGTGGGTTCTTTTCACTTTCTTGATAGTGACCTGTGCACCCCAAATGTTTTAATTTTGATGAAGTCTGGGCAGGTATGGTGGCTTATGTCTGTAATCCTAGCACTTTGGGAGGCTGAGGTGGGAAGATCACTTGAGCCCAGGAGTTTGAGAACAGCCTGGGCAACATAGCAAGACTATCTCTACAAAGAAGAAAAACATTAACCAGTTGTGGGGTGTGTGCCTGTGGTCCCAGCTTCTCAGGAAGCTAAGGCAGGAGGATCACTTGAACCCAGGAATTCAAGGCTGCAGTGAGCAGTGATCATGCCACTGCACTCCAGCTTGGGCAACAGAACAAGTCCCTGTCTCTAAAAAAAATTTAAAAATAAAAAACATTTTTGATGAAGTCCAATTTATACATTTTTTCCTTTTGTTGTTTGTGCTGTTGGTGTCAAACCTAGGAAACCACAACCCTGTCATGCCAAGTAGTTTCTTATCTAAATCTGTATTCATCCCTTCTCTATTCTTATGCCCCTGCTTTTCATCTGGAAGCCAGGGAACCACCTCAATTTCAGCAGGCCTTGTCTAACATCTGATAGTTTCAGCTTGGTTGGGACCAGGCTATTTATAGACAGGGTCTTGTGTACTTCTCTGTGTTCTGCCATGGTGTCTCCCACTCCCATCACTAAATTATCTCCTGCACCCCCATGTCGGAGCTCCTGAGACCTGGCCTGACGTTACTATTTAGTTAATATTCCTCTACCTTCTGTAGTGTTCTGTAACCTTACCTTTTGCCAAGTGAAGAGAGGGAAAGTGGTTTAATACCACCATGCTACCTTTTTTTTTTTTTTTTTTTTTTGAGACAGAGTCTCCCTCTTGTCACCCAGGCTGGAGTTCAGTGGTGTGATCTCGACTCACTACCACCTCTGCCTCCTGGGCTCAAGCAATTCTCCTGCCTCAGCCTCCCGACTAGCTGGGACTACAGGCATGTGCCACCACACTAGGCTAATTTTTTTGTATTTTTAGTAGAGATGGGGTTTCACCATGTTGGTCAGGCTGGTCTCGAACTCCTGACCTCAGGTAATCTGCTCGCCTTGGCCTCCCAAAGTGCTGGGATTACAGGCGTGAGCCACTGTGACTGGCCCCACTATGCTGCTGCTTGGTGCAGAATTCTTGGCCTCAGCCAGTAGTTTAAAGAGTTACATAGTTTAAATTGGCCTTGTGCATATGTGTGTGTGTGTTCATAGTTAACATATCATGTGTTTGTGTGTTTTAACATTCACCGCCTTGGAGAGGACCTGCGTCTTCTGACAACTTCTCCACCACCCTCCCCTACCCATTTCAGGTGCCTCATTTTAAAGATCTTCCCCTAACCAAAGTTTTTCTGAAAAAGTAATTCGTATGACCTTTTTTTTGAGATGAGGGTCTCACTCTGTCACCCAGGTTGGAGTACGGTGGCATGGTCTCAGCTCACTACAACCTCCACCTTCTGGGCTCAAGTGATCCTCTCACCTCAGCCTCCCAAGTAGCTGGGACTACAGGCGTGTACCACTATGCCTGGCTAATTTTTTTTGTATTTTTGGTAGAGACGGGGTTTCGCCATGTTGCCCAGGCTGGTCTCGAACTCCTGGCTCAAGAGGTCCACCCTGCCTCAGCCTTCCAAAGTGCTAGTATAACAGGTGAGAGCCACCGTGCCTGGCCCGTATGACCTTTTGATTGCATTGTCTTTATGCTACTCCAATTCAGTGTGTTTAGGAGCCATAGATCACACTGGAAATGATGAAACTGACACTTGAAACATTTCCATTCTGCTTGGGCAGATCACAGACACATATATCCATCCTTTAAGTAAATACATTGTTTTTAGTATTTTTTTTTTAAATGACAGAGCAAGACTCCGTCTCAAAAAACAAACAAACAAACAAAAAACAACGAATGCTTTATGTTTAATGAAGCACCTTTGATTTTTCCACTTGGAAGGCACTAGTTTCACTTTGATTTGAGTCCCTGTTCTTTTTTTTTAAACAAGAGGTAGCATATATTTAATTAATTTAATATTTAAATAAATATTTAATTGTAATTCTAATGTCTCATCTCTTTAGGCGAGTAAGCACTGCTTTTTACTTTTTTTTTTTTTTGAGGCACAGCCTCGCTGTGTTGCCAGGCTGGGGTGCAGTGGCTTGATCTCGGCTCACTGCAAGCTCCATCTCCCGCATTCAAGCGATTCTCCTGCCTCAGCCTCCCAAGTAGCTGGGACTACAGGCGCGAGCCACCATGCCCAGCTGATTTTTGTATTTTTAGTAGAGACGGGGTTTCACCATGTTAGCCAGGATGGTCTCGATCTCTTGACCTCGTGATCCGCCTGCCTTGGCCTCCCAAAGTGCTGGGATTACAGGCATGAGCCACTGCACCTGGCTGCCTTTTAGTTATTCTTATTCCCCCTACTCTGCCTCAAGTTTATCATGCCTCCTGGATTTCACATATGCCAGGAAGCTGGGGGTGCTGACATGGTGGGTGGAGAGAGTCCATCTGGTTTGTAGTGATCTGTCTGCCCAGTTTATGACAGACCTGCCTCATAGTGGTCCCCAAGGGCCCTTCAGTGTCAGTGTGCTGTTTCTATATAAAACTGCTTTCAAGCTGGGCACAGTGGCCCATGCCTGTAGTCCCAGCTACTGAGGAGGCTGAGGCAGGAGGATACCTCAGTCCAGGAGTTCGAGGCTGCGGTGCTCTATGATAGTTTCTGTGAACAGCCACTGCACTCCAACCTGGGCAACATAGTGAAACCCCATCTCTAAAAAATAAAACAAAACTCCTCACGTACAGAGGCGACTGTCAGCCCCAGCATACAGCCAACACGATAATGCTTGGTTTTGGAACAGGGTTCTTAACCTTTGAATACCATGGACTCCTTTGGTGATTTGGTAAAGTCTAGGAACTCAGTTCTAAATGCATAAAATATAATACATAAGATTACAAAGGAAACAAATTATATTGAAATACTGTTATCAAAAGAGAAAATAAATTCTGATATAATTAATATATGTATGGATGCATTCAATAATAAGAAAATATATTTAAAACATGAAAGTTGAAGTTAATTAAAATTTTTCTCTTTTTATTTTGGAATAATTTCAAATTTAAATAATTGCGAAAATAATACATTTCATTAAGTTTTACCAATTACTGGCTGGGCGCAGTGGCTCACGCCTGTAATTCCAGCACTTTGGGACACCGAGGCAGGCGGATCATGAGGTCAGGAGATTGAGACCATGCTGGCTAACACAGTGAAACCCCATCTCTACTAAAAATACAAAAAAATTAGCCAGGCGTGGTGGCAGGTGCCTGTAGTCCCAGCTACCTGGGAGGCTGAGGCAGGAGAATGGTGTGAACCGGGGAGGCAGAGCTTGCAGTGAGCCAAGATTGCACCACTGCACTCCAGCCTGGGTGACAGAGTGAGACTCCGTCTCAAAAAAAAAGATTCACCAATTACTAACATTTTATCCCATTTGTTATATCATCCCTCCCTTTTACTTTCCATCTCTCTGCAGGTATATTTTAACGGACCTATTCACACACATTTAATATTTTTCTGCCTGAGCCATTCATTAGGTACAGACCTGATGCCCCAAGGACATTCCCTGAAAGAACCACAGTACAGTTATCGATTCAGAAAATTTAATATTGGTATAATATTGTTGTCTAATATTTGAATACTCCATATTTGAATTTTCCCGGTAATTCTTTTATGACAGCTTTTTTTTTGAGATGAAGTCTCGCTCTGTCACCCAGGCTGGAGTGCAGTGGCGCGATCTCGGCTCATTGCAACCTCCGCCTCCCCAGTTCAAGCAATTCTCCTGCCTCAGCCTCTTGAGTAGCTGGGATTATAGGCATATCCGCCACCATGCCTGACTAATTTTGTATTTTTAGTAGAGACGGGATGTCACCATGTTGATCAGGCTGGTCTCGAACTCCTGACCTCAGGTGATCTGCCTGCCTTGGCCTCCCAAAGTGCTGGGATTATAAGCATGAGCCACTGCACCCAGCCTATGACAGCTTTTTTCTTTTTAAAAAATCTATTTCAGGATCTAGTCTGGTATTAAGCATTGCATGTGAGTCTTGTGTATTTAGTCTCCTTTTACCTGAAAATTTTTTCAGCCTTTCTCTGTCTTCATGACATTGACATTTTTGAAGAGTACAAAGCAGTGGTTTGTAGATTGGCCCTTAGTTTAGTTTGTCTCATGCTTCCTCATGATTAAATTTGAGTGTGCATTTATTACAGGAATACGATAGAGGTGATTTTGTGTCCTTCCCAGTATGTCATGCCCAGAAGCACGTGATGCCAGCTCAACACTTATTGGCTGATGTTTCCTTTGTTCACTTGGTTAAAGTGATGTCTGCCAGTTTTCTCTGCTTGAATGTTAATATATTTATGTATTTGAAATTAATACACGATTTTAGGAGGAGGAGATACTTTGAGATTAGGAGACTGTCCTGTTGCTCTTCAAACTTTCAGCCAGTGGTTTTATTTAATAATAATCTTTGAATGAATGTTGCCTGAATAACAGTTATTGTTAGGTGGTTGCAAAATGCTGAGTTTTTCCCCCTAATTTTATTACTCCTTACTCATTTATTTAGTATTCTTCTGTAGGAAAAGCTTTCTTCTTCCTCTCATTTCTCCTTTCTGCTTTTCTAATCCATATGGGATAACACATGGTTATTTTTCTTCACTAGATTATAATCTCTTACTATCCTTATTCATACTGATGTTCAAATTGTCCCAGGTTTGGCTGTGGGAGCCCCTTCAGGTTGTCTCCCATGTCTTTTGTAAATGGTTTCATTCATTATTTTTGGAGTTCTTGCTTATTTTTTGGTATTAGAAAATGTTCATCTTAGACTTTCCCTGTTCTAGCCCTAGAATAAGCTGATTTTTTAAGCAGGCTTGGTTCCTTTTAGGGCTAATGGTATTTAGTAACCAAGTTCTGGGCTAGGTAAGCTCATTGCTGCTGTCATTGCTTTCAGGCCTTCAGTGGATAGAGCTGGGGAAAGAGGCAGCTTCATATGGTTCCATTCAATATGTACCTTTTATTTTTTAATGACATCAGTGTGAATGCTGTTGATGCTTCACTGAATAAGAACATTGAACTGTTGATCTCAAACCATTGTTGCTAGGGAATGCTGAAAGCAGTGTAGATTTGGGATCACTAGTATGAGAATGTGCAACTTCACCGTTTGGTGATAGTTGGCATTGAAAGGAAGAGTGAATATAACCGTATTTTCAGATAGCTGCAACATGAGATGTGATATGAAAATACCTGTGCTTTCCCTTACTGCTAGAATCACAGGTACTGCTAGTGTTACTGTGGTTTATTGTCTGTGTTCATAACTGAATACTATGCAGAATATCAGTTAGAGGTTAGGAAAAAACAAAGGTAATTTTTTTTTCCATCCAAGTTTACACCCTACCTGCCTTGAATTCTATCTACCCCATACCCCTAAGGACCCTTGTTAAAAACTCTTGCTTTAGAATGAACATCATTTTAAAGCCCAGTTAGTTTGCACAAATCACAGAGCTCTAAGGTTGTAACTTTTTATGAAGAAACACCAGAGATGGGCCAGGTGCAGTGGCTTACGCCTGTAATCCCAGCACTTTGGGAGGCCGAGGCGGGCGGATCACGAGGTCAGGAGATCGAGACCATCCTGTCTAACATGGTGAAACCCTATCTCTACTGAGAATACAAAAAATTAACTGGGCGTGGTGGCACATGCCTATAGTCCCAGCTACTCAGGAGGCTGAGGCAGGAGAATAACTTGAACCCGGGAGGCGGAGCTTGCAGCGAGCTGAGATTGCACCACTGCACTCCAGCCTGGGCGACAGAGAGAGACTCCATCTCAAAAAAAAAAAAAAAAAAAAAAAAATTAACACCAGAGATTAGCTCTTTTATATTACTGTTGCCTTTCCATTTTTCTACCTATTCCTTTTTTTTTTTTGTCTGTTTGAGACAGGGTCTCACTCTGTTGCCCAGGCTGGGGTGCAGTGGCATGATCATGGCTTACTGCAGCCTTGACCTCCCTGGGCTAGGCAATCCTCCCACCTCAGCCTCCCGGGTAGCTGGGACAGCAGGTGTGCACCACCTTGCCCAGCTAATTTTTTGTAGAGATGGGGTTTCACTGTATTGACCAGGCTGGTCTTGAACGCCTGGGCTCAAGCAATCCACTTGTCTCAGCCTCCCAAAGTGTTGGGATTACAGGCGTGAGCTACCACGCTCGGCCTGTACCTACTCTTTATTATTGTTTTTAATATTGTCATTCTCTAGCTTTTCCTGTGCACTTCCTTAATCCTTATAAAATTATTTTTTGTTGCACTCATAGAATTTGATGTTTGGTGTTTCTTAAATCTTTATGAATTTATTTAGTCTTGTCATATCTTAGTTCAGTATAAAGTAGCAGTAACTATGTACATTTATTTTTACATTAGGGTTTAGAATATAATCCATACAACCATACTGTGAGTTTGTTCCTTTGTATTCATTCCTTTTTGCTTGTACTTCTTACTGCCACAAAATCTGCCAATTCATAGGTAACAAGCTTCGCCAAAAGTGAGAATGAAATGGGAACTGCACTCTACATCACACTGCGGAAATGGCCAAGACAAATGAAAGTCCTAGATCATTTTTCTTTGCCTTCTCTCCTCTCTGTCCTTGGGGAATTTAGAGTAGAACTAGATGAGATAGATAATTCAAGGGTACAAGGTGGGAAGAGGGGTTTGGGGGAGCCAGGATGTGGCGATAAATCTTCAACTAAAAATTCCTACCCCCCGACAAAGCTTACCAATCCACTATTTACCATTGTCTCTGCCAGAGAAGGACGACTTTTCATGACTTAGCCCCATCTCAGTCCTCAGTTTAAATGATGTGACTCTGAGATCCAAGCATGTTTAAATTTAGAAAAAAATAATATTATATACGAGAAGAAGGCATGAATAAAAAGTATAGAGTGGCCAAAAATTATTTTTAGTTGGTTTACTGAACCATGGACCTTATAAATTAACTAAAAATGCAGAATCTTATGGATTATATTTCCTATGGAAAACACTGGGCTTTATATTAATATATACATTTTTTAGCCATTACCTTGTAGTTGTCCTCTTTTGCCAGCAGGTGGGCTGTATGCACACAATTATGACCCTAGCTCCAAAGTGAAGCACTTCCAAAGCACCTACAGCAATGCAGCAATACATCTTCTCTCCATTCCTTCCATCTCTCCTACCCCAACACACACACTCTCTCTCTCTACACGAGTAGTAGCATAGGATACATACACACTGTTCTATACCTTTTTCTCACTTAAGGATTATTGTGGAGATTGGTATATATCAGTGTAAGAAGAGACTCAAAATTTTCAGACCGGCATGGCATTCCATTGTACAACTGTACCATAATTGATTTAACTAACCCCCATTGATAAATATTAGCTGGTTTTCAGTCTTTATTATTATACAAACAATGCAGCAGCTAGCAAACTTGCATATCTATCACTTTCCCTGTGTGTGAGCATCTCTGTAGGATCAATTATTAAAGGGCATGTGCACTTGTGATCTTGATCACCGATGCCAGGTTGTCCTCCATAGAAGTCGTGCCATTGATACCACTCGCAGCAGGGTGCTGTGCGTGCTTGTTTCCCTAGAACCTCGTCTGTTCGATGGATGACAAATGTAGCTTCTTAGTGTCCTTTCAGTGTGCACGCCTCTCATTATGAACAGTGCTGAGCGTTGTTTATATATATTTATAAAATAAATATACAAAAAATATATTTATATTATATTTATGTATTTTATATATAATGAATTATATTTAGAAATATGCCTCTAAAATATAAAAATATAAATATAAATATATTATATAATTTACATATATAATATATAGATATAAATATATAGTATATTAGTATATAATAAATGTAAATATATACTATACAATATATAAATATATAATATATAATTTATAATATATTCTTATATATTTTAGAGGCATTGTATTTATTTTCCTAACAACTTTATGTTTATGACTGTGCTTGTATTTCTATAATAGTGTTGGTATTTTTTGTCACTGACTTGTAGGAGATTATTGCATATTAGTGACATTAACCCTTGATCTGTGATAAGAGTTGAAATTGAAATGCTTTAATTTTGAAAACATTCAATAGAAAATTGAAATGTTTTTATTTATGTTTTAATATGTTAGAAATAGTCCCCACTACTCTTCTGTTTTGTAATTTTTGTAACGATTTTTGTTTATCCTTCCATAAGAACTTGAATTGAATTTCAACTTAAGAAGAATTGAAAGCTCTGTGATCATTGTCATCGTGTTCTTTCTTTTTAACTTGTCCAATAATGCTTTATATCTTTTGAATTATATTGATTATTAGACTTTAAGTAGGCTATTAGCAGAATCTGGAAAATAATATACTGTAGTGACTACTGGGGGCTGAAAGAGATGACACTAGAACATCCTGGGCTTTTCTTACTTGTTAAAAGAATTGTGAGTTAGTCTTCACACTTTCATACAAAAGGACACAGAGGAGAGACTTGACGAGGACACAGGTTGCGCTCTTCTTGGAATAATTTGTATGTTTTCTATTCTGATAACCCACAGTTTGCATAAAGTTCCTTTTACATTTCCAACATATTTTGAGGCCCTACACATTAGTATTTTCTAACACCATCTATTAGTACAGAGATTTCTTTTTTTTTGTCAAACAAAAATATTAGTCACTTTTTTTCAGTAAAAATTTTAATTATTTTAATTTCAGGGTGGTTTATGGTGTTTTGGAGGAAATGGACTTCCTTATGCTGAAAGTTTTGGAGAAGTTCCTTCAGCAACAGTGGAAATGTTCTGTTTAGAAGCTATAGTAAAACATTCTGAGGTAATTTACATTTTCAAAATGTAGTTTACTTTTTATGATTTTATTGAAATAATTATATAGGTTGATTTTTGCAAGGGCAATAATCATTTACTGTAAAAGGAGAAAAGCCCTTCACTTATTTTTAAATTTCTGCTTTCCTCCAATTTTAATTGTTAGAATAATCATGATTTAGCACCAATAAATGAGATTCTATTTTGCTAAGTATTTCTAAAAATTTATTTAATTGCCTAAAAGAAAGCAGCCTATCATCTAAATGTGGCATTTGCCTTTGAGTTATGTTGTCTTCTACTGCCTTTCTCAGATATTTTTACATATTATTTTCAGATAATTTCCATTAAAACAACTGCCAAAGATGTGACAGGATAAAAGAAAAAACAGGCTGGGCGCGGTGGCTCACGCCTGTAATCCCAGCACTTTGGGAGGCTGAGGCGGGTGGGTCACCTGAGGTCAGGAGTTCAAGACCAGCCTGGCCAACATGGTGAAACTCCGTCTCTACTAAAAATACAAAAATTAGCCAGGTGTGGTGGTGCGCACCTGTAATCCCAGCTACTTGGAGGCTGAGGCAGGAGAATCGCTTGAACCTGGGTAGCAGAGGTTGCAGTGAACTGAGATTGTGCCACTGCACTGCAGCCTGGGCGACAGAGCAAGACTCCATCTCAAAAAAAAAAAAACAAAACAAAAAAAAACAAGGAAATATTAGATGACTATACTCTTGAAGTGTAACTGTAGCATATATCAATGATTGTTAAACTCTTTGGTACCATAGAAACTTTTCTGTCATGATGATAGTTTAAAAAAGAAAAAAGCAACAAACCTTGTAGTGCTCATAGTGCAGAAACATCACCCAGGAAATGTGTTTTAAAATGCACATTTTTCCACTCACTTGTATCAAGTTTAACATCATAGATTTGGTGTGGAGTCCAGGAATTTGCATTTGTAGCCAGCACCCTGGTGAGGTGAATGCAGGTGATCTGTCCCACATCAAGACAAACACCATCCTTGAGATTCGGAACTCTCCAGTTCAGTTTTGGGACACATTGGACATGGCTTAAAAGCCATGTGTAGAAAGTCATCTTTAGTTCTCGCCCATGAAATTAGGAACTGACCACAAAGCAGAGGGAATAAGGTGTTGTAGTACAGAAGGGACCTGGGAAAACTTGCTCGAGTGTGGTGTCTCCTGAGTTGTTTTTCTGAAGCAATAGCTGCATCTTCAGTAGAAAGGACAGTGCATGGAATATAATAGTTATCTTTCCAGAAATCTCTGAAATTATTGCAGATCTCACTTGATATACAGTATATTTAAAAGGCATACATTTTAAGGCACTTAAAATGTGATATAATGTAACAAAAATCTAGAAAGTGAAAATTGCTGTATGTACATATGGTGTCATGTCCTTGAGTAAAACTAGTGATGGGAAGAGGCAAAGCTGTGCCCAGTGACATTAGAAAGACTGACTTGTTGGTCAGTTCTCTTCCCTTAACTCAATATGCATGTTTTCTTTTTCTTTTATCTGTTTTCTCCATTAAAACTTCAAATCCCTTTTTATTTTTACCTGATCTTTCTCTTTTAAAAAATCTTCCAACTTCTAAGTTTGAGGCCAGCCCCATAGCTGTGGGCATTGTGTGGGATAGGGTGTGGGGCCACAGAGGTCACTGGTCTCGCCCTGTGTGAGTCCTTGTTTGCTGAATGAAATCTGTTCGCTTGCACAGGGGACTATTTCCTGAGAATAGGTGGCAGATTTTTCAAGGTGAGAACTGTTTTAAGGTAATTTCAAGTCAAAGTGTCACTATAAATTGAAACAATTTTGTAATAATGACATTGTCAGGTTACATCCAACCAAGAGCTAAGCAGAATGAGAATAATGATTTTAGTAGTCCTGGTGAGAGATGCCTTCTTGGGATTTTTTCTATGATTTTGAAGCACTTCCCACTTAAATAGGGATTTGCTTATTTAAGCAAGCTGAGACAAGAGCTTTGAGGAGTCTCCCTGCATCCCTGCCCTTGAGTGGGAGCTACCTAGCTGTCCCCATGACCAGGCTGTGTCATCTCACGTCATGAATTTGTACAATGTCAAGGGAGCTTCTGTTTATTTATTGTGCCAGATATCCACACATTGTGATAAAATCGAAGCAAATGGAGGCCTGCAGCTACTTCAGAGGCTGTACCGACTTCACAAGGACTGCCCTAAAGTACAGAGAAATATAATGCGTGTCATTGGAAATATGGCTTTGAATGAACATCTTCATTCTTCTATAGTTCGCTCAGGTAACAGCTTTATATACTGAGTATTTTTTACTTTGTTCTCCCACCTCTACCCCTCATGATATGTTCATTTTTCTTTTTTTTTTTTTTTTTTTTTTTTTTTAAATTTATTTTTTTATTGATAATTCTTGGGTGTTTCTCACAGAGGGGGATTTGGCAGGGTCATGGGACAATAGTGGAGGGAAGGTCAGCAGATAAACAAGTGAACAAAGGTCTCTGGTTTTCCTAGGCAGAGGACCCTGCGGCCTTCCGCAGTGTTTGTGTCCCTGATTACTTGAGATTAGGGATTGGTGATGACTCTTAACGAGCATGCTGCCTTCAAGCATCTGTTTAACAAAGCACATCTTGCACCGCCCTTAATCCATTTAACCCTGAGTGGACACAGCACATGTTTCAGAGAGCACAGGGTTGGGGGTAAGGTCACAGATCAACAGGATCCCAAGGCAGAGGAATTTTTCTTAGTGCAGAACAAAATGAAAAGTCTCCCATGTCTACTTCTTTCTACACAGACACGGCAACCATCCAATTTCTCAATCTTTTCCCCACCTTTCCCGCCTTTCTATTCCACAAAGCCGCCATTGTCATCCTGGCCCGTTCTCAATGAGCTGTTGGGCACACCTCCCAGACGGGGTGGTGGCCGGACAGAGGGGCTCCTCACTTCCCAGTAGGGGCGGCCGGGCAGAGGCGCCCCTCACCTCCCGGACGGGGCGGCTGGCCGGGCAGGGGGGCTGACCCCCCCACCTCCCTCCCGGACGGGGCGGCTGGCCGGGCAGAGGGGCTCCTCACTTCCCAGTAGGGGCGGCCGGGCAGAGGCGCCCCTCACCTCCCGGACAGGGCGGCTGGCTGGGCGGGGGGGCCGAGATATGTTCATTTTTCAATAGACAAGGCTCTACTTAGGGTTAGTTATGGGTCCTTAGAACATGTTATTTTGGTAGAGGCAAGGAATTGCTTGAGATTGTAGATAATCTGCGCCTAAGATAATCAGTATTGTAGATGATCATAGGAGAGCAGGTTTGCCATGATGATCATCTAATTATTTATGTAATTTTTTTTTTTTTTTGAGAGAATCTCACTGTGTTGCTGAAGCTAGAGTGCAGTGGTGTGGTCATAGCTCACTACAGCCTTAAACTCCTAGGCTCAATGGATCCTCCCACCTCAGCCTCCCGAGTAGCTGGGACTACAGGCACGTGCCATTGTGCATGGCTAATTTGAAAAACTTTTTGTAGAGACGGGGGTCCTACTTTGTTGCCTAGGTTGGTCTCGAACTCCTGGACTCAAGTGATCCCCCTGCCTTGGCCTCCCATAGTGTTGAGATTACCATGCCTGGCCTGTAATTTTTGATGTGATTTGGTTAACCAAGAGGCATAGTCAGACTAAAAAGAGATTCATTTTATGATTAATGATTTTCCCTCTTGCAAGTAATAAACCAGCTGTGGGGAGATACTTTAAGACCAAGCAAATATCCTGCTTTCTATCCTCTGACAGTTCCTGCCCGATCTAGTCTTTACCATAATGGTTTTAAAATGATTTTCTAGCTCCAGCACACCCTCTGCAGTTACTTTTTAGCATTTGGCATTCTACTGGAAGCAAGAGTCCTTCTCTTTCCCTCCTCCCTCCCTCCATCTCCTCCCTCCCTTCTATGGACAGGTACATGAATTCCTATTTTTAAAAGTTTATAATTTATTGCTGTACTTAATAATTTGGTGCCAAATTGTTCCAGCTTTGACTAATGGGAGCCCCAGCAAACTGGCCCATGTCCTTTATGATATGCCCACATTATTTTGGGGAGGCATTTCTTATTTCCTGGTATAACAAGATATTTTAGGTTCATTTCTCTGAAGAAACCTCTATACTTTTAGTGGAGAATGATTCTTAGAGACCAAGGTCTAAATGATAGGAGTGCATATTGCTCCTGGGGTGTCTTTGCTTCTTGCCTCTTTCACTAGAAAGAGCTGGATAATACATACACACATATATATATAGATATACATACATACACAAATATGTGTAAATGTATATGTACACATATATGTGTGTTGTGGGATGGAAGATATACTTTCAACACTTACTAATGTAATTATTGATATCGTTTGGTTATGTTGGTCATCTTGCTCTTTGCTTTCTATTTGTCCCTCTTTTTCTTCTTTTTTCTGACTTCTTGTATTACTTGAGTGTTTGTTTTTAAATTCTGTTGTTTCTCCTCTTTTGGCTTTTTATACTGTGTTTGTGTGTTTAATGGTTGTATCCTTACAGTCTACTTTGAATTAAGATTATGCCATTTCATATGATGTAAGATCCTTACAACCCCATAATTCAGTTCACATCCCCTGCCATTCTTTGTGGTATTGTTGTAATATGTTTTACTCTTATTTATAGACTTCACAATACATTATCATTGTTATTATTATTTTTTGAGACAGGGTCTTGCTGTGTTGCCCAGGCTGTCCTCAAACTCCTAGGCTCAAGTGATCTTCCTACCTTAGCCTCACGAGTAGCTGGGAGTATATGTTTGGGCCACTGTGCCTGGTTACATTGTTGTTATTTATAATAGTTGCTTTAGTTCATTTTGTGCTGCTGTAACCTGAGGCTGTATGTTGGAGGCTGGGTAATTTATAAATAACAGATTTATTGTGTCTCAGTTCTGGAGGCTGGGAAGTTCAAGATCAAGGTTCTGGCCATTGGTGTCTTGTGAGGGCCTCATTGTTTTATCGTCACATGGCAGAAGACTGAAGGGCAAGCTAGCCTGCATGTTGCATGAAGCCTCTTTTATTTTTTTATTTAAAAATTTTTGAATTTAAAATTTTATGTACATGATAGTTGTACATATTTATGAGGATGTAAATATGTAGTGATATTTTGATACAAGCATACAATGTGTAGTGATCAAGTCAGGGCAGTTGGGATAGCAATCACTTCAAACATGAATTAATTCTATTAATGTGGGAGGAACACTGATGGCCCAGTCACCTCTTAAAGGCTCACCTCTTCATACTGTCACATTGGCAACACTTGAATTTTGGAGGGGACACATTGAAACCATAGGAACAGTCGTGTGACATTTAAAGAATATAAGAAATCAAAAATCTTTTTTGTTTGCATATTTATAATCTCCAGTGCTCTCCCTTTTTTCTGTATATATGGATTTACATCTGATAATATTTCTCTTCAGCCTAAAGACTTTCCTTTAGTATTTCTTGTGTATTGGGTCCACTGGCAACAAATTCTCTCACCTCATTATTTGAAAATGTCTTTAATTTGCCTTTATTTTATGTCCAGGAAAAGGTATCTTCCCTGGATAAAGTATTCTTTGTTGAGTGTGTATGTGTGTGTGTGTGTGTGTGTGTGTGTGTGTGTGTGTGTGTTTTCCAGCATTTCTAAAATGTCATTCCACTCTCTTCTGGAGTCCATTGTCTGATGAGAAGTCTCTTTGAATTCCCACTTTTGTTCTCTTATACGTAATATCTTTTTTCCTCTGGCTTCTTTTAAGATCTTTCTGTTTGATTTTTGACTCTGAAATGCCTAGGTGTCATATTTATCCTGCTTGAGCTCCACTGAACTGAGAGAATTAACATATGCATTACCTTATACATATCATTTTTTGTGGTGAGAACATTTAAAATCTATTCTGTCAGCAATTTTCAAGAATACAATACCTTGTATTGATGGGTTGGTGTTTTTGATCAAATGTAGAAACTTTCCTGCCAGTATATCATCCAATATTTATTCTTTTGTCCTTTTTTATTCTTATCTTTTTCTGGAACTTCTGTTATGTATATTAGATCTCTTTTTTCTGTCCTGCAGGTTATTGAGATTCTATTCATTATGTTTAAATTTTTTCCTCTGTGCTTTACTTTGGATGGTTTCTATTGACCTATCTACAGGTTCATTGATGAGGTGGAGACTAAGGGATTCAAAGCAGGACAAAGACCTGATCAAATCAGTATCTTATTATAGAAAAAAAAATGACTCTTCTCTGAAACCTGGGTCTACCCCAAGTCTTCAGTCCTCTTATCTCCTGGATAGCCCACTCACCACCTTGGCCTCAATTCCATGACCTTCTCATCTTCATTGATTTCCTGCTCTGCTCCTGAGTTGTCTAGTACTCTACTCCTAAGTCATACATTGAACCTAATCACTGCCTGAAACCACTTCACCTAAAAATCAGCCCTGAGCACATCCTTCTTTCATTCAAGCTTGTTTTTGCATCTACCCCATAAGGACTGGTTTTCTTCTCTATTGAAATCTTCTATCCACAGACCCCTTTATCCTCTCCCAATCCATCACTCTTTTTATTCTTTACTTCCTCCCTGAACCCAGCTTATATTCCATGGTCTGTTATTTCAGTAATATTTTTGCCAGTACCTACAACTCCCTTTCCCTTTGATCCTGTTACCAGTCTCTTGGTCAAGACCTTGATGAAACCTACTGCCTGCTTACTACTCTGTGGCTGAACGTGGAATCATTGCAGATTGGTTGTCAGCATGCTTATGAGATCACAAATTAAAGAACCTTCAATATTGCTCAGCAATTATGTTTCTCCAATCAGCTACCTTAACATTCTTAGCAATGACTATTGTAAACCTTCTACGTGTTCCTTAAACCTTCCACATATTCCTTCCTCTCAGAGGATGACTTCTCCTCCTACTTTACTGAGACAATTGAAGCCCTAAAAGGAATTTTCTCACTAACAAAAACCAAACCCTGTTCTTTCCTTTTCTTGGTAATAGGAAAAGAGACACCTCTTTTATAAGCCCTCCAGCCATGTTTGGGCCTGTCTCCTTTCACAGTCTCAGGAATGTATACTTTTTTCTGGTCTCATGGTCAGCTGCTGCCTCATAGCTGGACCCTCTGATCACATACATTGGAGGAAGATGTGAAAAACATAATCTGCATCCCCTATAACATCCTGTCCTCCCTGTTATAGCTAAACTTCTGAAAGAGTTACCTACATATACCTTCTTTTTGCTCAGCCTTCATTACTTCTCAGTACTCCAATTTGAATTCTGCTAACTTGCCCTGTGTTTTTTTCTCTTTAGGCATCCTGTGTCTTTCCCTCTTTTTATATATTTTGTATCAATCTTAGTATCAGATCTGCAGATTTTTGCCTTCAGATTTACAAAAGTTGGAGCAACCTAAATGTCTGCCAATAGGAATGAATAGTGGTTAAACAATGGCGTACTCATGTGACGTAATACTATAGTTCAAAGGAATGAAGTTGATATATATAGAGAGCTCTCCAAGACATACTGCTGAAGTACAGACACAGAACAGTAGTATGATTCCATTTAGGTTTCAAAAAGTGCACATAGAGCTACATTTTTCTTTTTCTTTGAGACAGCGTCTCACTCTGTTGCCCAGGCTGGAGTGCAGTGGCGCTATCTTGGCTCCCTGCAACCTCCACCTCCCGGGTTCAAGTGATTCTCATGCCTCAGCCTTCTGAGTCGCTGGGATTACAGGCGCCCACCACCACACCCGGCTAATTTTGTAATTTTAGTAGAGATGGGGTTTCACATGTTGGCCAGGCTGGTCTTGAACTCCTGACCTCAAGTGATCTGCCTGCCTCAGCCTCCCAAAGTGTTGGGATTACAGGCATGAAACACCACGCCTGGCCCATTGTATGTGTTTAAATTATAGATATATGACTATATTTTTCAAAAGGGTGTCCACCAAACTTCTACCTTTCATTACTCTGAGGATGTAAATGGAGTTGGGAAATTATGGGAGTACTAAAGCAAGACTTTCATCATTAGATGCTACTTTTAGTTATTTCATTATTTTTTACAGTTAACATGTACAGACATGCATTGCTTAATAGTGGAGAAACATTCTGAGGAATGTATCGTTAGGCAGTTTTGTCACTGTGCAAACATCGCAAAGTATACTTACACAAACCTGGATGGTAGCACCTATTCCACACCTAGGCTGTATGGGACAGCCTATTGCTCCTAGGCTCCAAACCTATACAGCAGGTTACTGTACTGAACACTGTAGACAGTTGTAACACAATGGGAAATATTTGAGTATCTAAACACAGCTAAACATAGAAAAGGCACAGCAAAAATACTGTACTATAATCTTATGGGATCACCATAGTATTTGTGGTTCATTGTTGACTGAAACATTATTATGTGTTTTGCATGAGTGCATTCAGATGTTATATAATTTTAAAATGCTCAATGTTAAAGAAGTAAGTTTTCCAAAGGGCATTTGATATTTTTCAAAGGTGGAGTATCTCGGACATTGTGAACATATTTTGTCAACTGAAAAAAGCCAGAGATGGCTTGTACCATGCTTTTTCTTGTGACTTCATTAAAAATAAAGCCGTATTTTCATATATACCAATAACATACTTGTCTATCTCTATAGATATAATTTTTAAATATTCTTATTTTATTATTTTAAAATCTTTAACAGATTTTGAAGAGGAATCTTCTGATGTTATAAATTTGAATATTGTTAAGTACTGAGTCTGAAGCTTCTTTTAGGTTATTAAATGCTAGCTTCCCATCATCACAGTGACTCAACACTTTTGTCGTAAAGAGTGGGAGAAGGGCATGGGGACAGCTGTCGTGTATTGAGTGCCTGCTGGGCCTGGGCCCACGGTTTTCACATACATTAGTTTATTAAAACCTTCCTCTAGTTCAGTTGCTAAATAACTTGACTGAGGTTCCAGAGCAAGTAAGGAGGGAGCAGAAATGTGAGCCCAAGTCTAACTTCAAGGCCCATATTCTGCTTTATTTTAAATTAAATAAATTATATAAATAAATACATAGATTTTTCACCGTACTTCAGAAAATAGATATAGCGAAAAAGCTAAACATACGTTTTTTACAGAGCCCTCTTCTACCCTATCTCTCTCCTAAAAGGTAACGACTTTATAAGTTTAGTGTATAGATCTTTGTGTGTTTGTGTATGTGTGTGCACATGTACTTTTATATTTATGTATATAAAGTTTTAAAAACAAAAACATTAAAAAAAAGAAATCATAGCATAGATAGTATTATCCATGCATTTTCTGTTTGCCTCCCTTTAAAAAATGTTTTTTCCTTCCTGATCTCCAGATTCTACAAGAGTTTTGTGTCTCAAATTCATTGTTAAGAAATAGTTTCTTCATTTGTATGAAAGGGTATTACTGATTGCTGGTCAGGATGAAATAACTAGTATTAACCCACTGAGTTTCATAATTCTTGTTAAAAGCAAAACATCATGGTATTTTGTTCACTTTTGTGAACACCTCTATAACTGCTATGAACACCTCTATAATTGGTATTAGTGTTAGGCTTTCTAAATAAAGAAAATGGCTCTTCAACCCCTCTTTCCTTCTTTGAGGTCCCTTAAGGGGTATGTGGATGGTATTGTGCCACAGGTCTCAGAGGATCGTAGGGCAGAATGGGGTTGGAATAGTCGGACTTCTCCGCCAAGGACAGACACGCAAGGTTTGCCTTTCTCCCATCATATTCAGTTTGAAACCTCACTCTCTCTGTGGTCTGCGATGGATTCACATCAGTATTTAGGATATGTGTACTTTTCACCAGGCTGGGTTTCCATCATGGCAGAAGCAATGAAATCTCCCCACATTATGGAGTCCTCACACGCTGCCAGAATCCTGGCAAATCTAGACCGAGAAACTGTGCAAGAAAAATATCAGGATGGCGTATATGTGCTGCATCCCCAATATCGAACAAGGTAAGGAAGCAGAAGAGAGTTGCTTTGTCCCCTTTGGAAATGTGAAGCCTAGAGGCCTCAAATTTTTAACTTATTTCTGCATAATTCAGATAAGTTAAATAACTTATAAGTCAAATATCTTATTTACTAAAATAATTTGTCTATAGTAACCACAAAAGAATTGGAGGTTGTCATGAAAAGTATGTGAACTAGCTAAATTGTCATGGTTATTTTACAAAGGGCTTCCCTTCAGTTAGGTGGCATTCACATTTGATAATGCGTCACACTTAAACTTTGTAATACATATCTCCTTTGGTTCAAGGCATTTTCACTTAGATCTGAGTTAATAACTGATTTGGATTGTAGAAGTCAGCTGAATAGGAAGGAGATAAGACATTGTCTTATGTGGCAACCAAATTAGCCTGGGCCTAGAACTCAAGGGACTGGAGAAAGTTTATGCTAGTTATAAAAGGATGCATTAGAAAGAATAAGTTGTAATAAGTTTGACTCATGCCCCTTCTTAAGGTTATTTGTGGTCATTATATCTAGTTGTATAATTGCTAAGACAATAAATATAGAAGGGACCACACTGAAAAAATAACATATTTCTTGGTTTTCTTAGGGCACTTTACAAAAAGTACCTCAGAAAATAGCAAAAACTTTTAAATTAAAAAGTGGATTACCTGGTTAATTACAATTTGTAAATAAAATATTATGGTTATATATGTGCATTGCATAATTGTATGTGTACTGTAAATAGCTTGCAACTAACATACTATCTACAGTTTTTAATGCGTCATATGCAATGAGTGAATGTTACTTTGAAATCTCATTTTATAAGTATTAGTTTCCTTAACACATTTTTGAAAATCTCTTTTATATATACTGACTTTGAAACTGTTATTAGCACGTTCTTCTTTAATTTCTTAAATACTTTTATTGATTTGTAGAATATTCTCAAATGGAAGTCTTTAGAGGGTAATCTATGACATCTGTCAGTTGATTGATTGCTAAGCTCATTACAATTGATTGTGGTTGGTCTGCCTGACTAGAATAGTCTCCATTTTTAGAGAACAGTGAACATGCTTCATGTATGTCTTTGCCAAAGCTCCTTCTAGGTTTTCCCAGCAAACCTGTGCTTATAGAGCTTGCTTTAATTCAGTTTTATGTCACATAAGCCTGCTAAAGCACCATCCACAGAGAATGCTGTGTAGATTCTTACCAAAGCAGTAATGCATTTATTCTGCTTCTTTTTAAAACTCTCTCCCCTATTAGTCAGCCCATTAAAGCAGATGTCCTTTTTATTCATGGCCTTATGGGAGCAGCATTCAAAACATGGCGCCAGCAGGACAGTGAGCAGGCTGTAATTGAAAAACCTATGGAGGATGAAGACAGATATACGACGTGCTGGCCCAAGGTAAGGGAGCCACTGACTCTGGCCCTGGTTGCTGGGGCCCTGGTTGCTGGGGCCCTGATTGTGGCTTGCTTGTTTTTCTCTTTGTTCTGGGATTTTTTTCCCATGCAGTTCTTCTTTCCCTTAGGGAGATTTGTAGTATGTTTTGACAACAACTGGGCTTGTCACCCTATGTTGTATAATTTCCATTTGGGGTGCAGTGTATGACTCAAAAAATATTCTATTAAGTAAAAAATAGGGGCAAGAGCCAGTAATAGTTCACTTTTGTTGTAATATAATACAAAAATAACATAACAATACTTACATTTATAATAGTTACCTAATTCTATGACCTTAATAATTACAAAAATAGAAAGTCTTTGAAGAAGTAATTATACTTTGCATTTCTTTCCTTCTTTTTTTTTTTTTTTTTTGAGATGAGGGTCTCATTTTGTCACCCAGACTGGAGTGCAGTGGTGCGATCCTAGCGCACTGCAGTCTCAACCTCCCAGGCTCAAACAGTCATTCCCCCTCAGCCTCCTGAGTAGCTGGGACCACAGGCACATGCCATCATGCCTGGCTAATTAATACTTTACATTTCTTTGATACTATTTCTCCCAAAGAACCTTAATTCTGGAATGAATTCATTGAATGGAATTTATCTAAAGCTCATTTAAAAGTGATGCTGCATATACGTGTGAATAGTTTTTAGGGCATTGTTCCATTACTACTTATTCTCCTTCACAAAGGCTTATCAAGTAGAAGAATGATTTGCACTTTCTGGTGGCACTGAAGTACAGAGATGATGATAGACCTAGGGTATACAGAGATAGAACTGTGATGATTATTATTAGTGTCTCTGAATTCTCAGATCCAAAATCTGTCAGACTATGCCATCTGTCCTGAGATTATAGCATTCTACTAAATTCTTTCAAAAAGCCAACTTGATCTAGACTTTAAAACAGGCCTTGCTTTTGGCTATAGCAGCTTAAAATGGAAAATATTCTCTTGAAACCTTCATTGGCCTTATGCTATAAATACTGGTACCACTTCGAGACCAGAGACTTGAAAAGATAGTGCTGGAATTGTTTTTACGGTACCTTCAAACCTTATTCCAGTGCTATCTTTAATTATAGTGCAAGAGGCCTTTAGTTATAAATTTGATTTACTAGGCAGTAATTGCAGTGGTGAAGATTCATACTTGTTCTCACATATGTTTTATTTTACTTAGACATGGTTAGCAAAAGACTGTCCTGCTCTCCGAATTATATCTGTGGAGTATGACACCAGCCTCAGCGACTGGAGAGCAAGGTGCCCTATGGAAAGGTAACAGAGGCGACTTTAGACCAGGAGGACAGGGAAGAATTCAGGCCGCAAGTTTAGGTCCTCTTGGATGGGAAGTGATTTTAATTTTTTGATGCCACAGACAGGATTTTCTTATGAAGAACAAACCTAATCTTTTTTGTCTTCCTTCTAGAAGGAGTTTGCTGTCAATAAGCAGTGGAATAGTAGAAGGCTTAGGTATATCACCAATGGTGGGCTCCTAACATGGTTTATTTACAACTGTTCTAATAGTGAAGGATCGTGGATTGTCTAGCAGTCTCCTTTTCTATCAGAAGTAAAAGTGATGTTTTTTTGTTCTTGTGTCCACAATCATACTGGCTAAAGGAAGCAAAGAGAAAGATGCTGAGAAATATCAGCTGCTATTTCCCTTGTATGTCATCTGTGCCAGTTGTATACATGGGAAGGAGTGCTGGATTTCAGAGTTACTGGACTGAGAGTAGCCGGATCCTACCTTTGATTTGCTGTGCAGTCTTAGACCAGTCAGTTAACTTTTCCGGGAAGCTTTGTCTACAGATTGACAGAGTTGGTCTAAATCAGTGTTATCAAACTGCTTTCTGAATGAACCTCCCGTAGGTGCCCAAGAAGGGTGTCAAGGTGAGCAGGCAAGACCCCAGGTCTCCCTCCCCATTTCACCCAGAGGAGCTCTGGAGAACCTTTATTTTGAAGAAATGTGTCTACAAATAAACAGTTTGAAACTACCAGACTAGATAGTTTTGAAGTTCCTCTTTAGTTTAAAAATTACTTATTTCGAATTCTGATTCTATTAGCATCCTGTTTATGCTAGTTATAAAAGCATGCATTGGAAGGAATAAGTGCTAATAAACTTGACTCATTCTAGTTTTTCTAAATAGCACCCTAGTATTTCTAAAGAATAAACCAAAATTATGAAAGCTTAATATTTTTGCAGCCTAACTACCAGTAGAGAGACCACAGTCTTTGGTGATACTTTCATTGTCAGGCCTTGGATGAAAAAGGACATCCATATCCTAAGTGTTGGAGGGCAGTTGCAGGGAGACCCACATTTGACCCGAAAAAATTGCCTGACACAGGTGCTCCAACAATGTTCATGCAGTAAATGAATGGCCTGTTCTGGGCTTAGATATTCCTAATTAGGCCAATGTTAATAAGTTACAAATAGAGAATTAACGATTTCAGGAATTGAGCAGAGAGATCCCAGGCGTGGTGGCTCATGCCTATAATCCTAGTGCTTTGGGAGGCCGAGGTGGGAGGATTCCTTGGGGCCAGGAGTTCAATAAGAGAGAATAGGGGTATTTTATATTAAGCAGAGAGAATGGGGGTATTTCTTACTCTAAATGTAGTATGTAGCATTGGTCCTGTAGACTAAAGTTCTTAACTCTAAAAATTAGACAGCAAATTGAGGGGATCGATAGCCTTGTGTCATGCCTGCTGTTTTTGTTTTGTTCAGAAAGTCCATTGCATTCAGAAGCAACGAACTTCTTAGGAAGCTCAGAGCTGCTGGTGTTGGGGATAGGCCAGTGGTTTGGATATCACATAGCATGGGAGGTAAGTGTGGCTTCAACTTTGTGAAGTGGCCATTGTGATGTTATTTTCAGCCACTGTGGCCAACCTAAAGTTATTTTATCTTTCCATTTTACTTAATAGCGGCTCCCTTACCCCCCCTGCTAAATTAATCTGTGTAGCTATGGCTAGGACTTTTAAAATTACTACTCTTGTTCCATGCTGTTCCTTTCTCTAGAAAAGGGCAACCTGTTACAAATCATCTAAGAGGGATATGGGTTTGACAGCGTAGTGCTTTCACATAGCGGTAATGAATAAACATGAGAAGCAGCCCGTTTCATATACACCCACCTCGTCAACATGCCTCAGCATTCTTGGGTGGCCCCAGGGGTGCCCCTTTATTCTTCCTGCTCCCCCTCACCATTGCAGTCTATGGTCGCTTTAGTGCCCACAGTCCCAGACTCTGGGTGCCTGCTCACACCAGGCCCAGAGCTGCTGAGGTACAGGTGTGATCAAGTGTCTGTTCTTGGGGTCCTAGTGGTTGCTTATGGAATGGCCTCCCCTGTGTGCGACTCCCCCAGTCCACTTTGAAATTTTCACCACCCACCTTGCAGAAGGCCTTTCTGCAGCCCGTGGCCTAGTTTATCTGATGAAGCACTCAGGATTGCCTCTGAGGTGGGGATTTTTGCTGAGACAAAGGTGGGTGTAGCCCTTCGTGTCCTCAAAGACCTACTGTCATCATCCTTTAGATCTTTGTGTTTCATTATCGGTTCCAAAGCCGGGGCAGGGGGATGGAAGAAAAGGTGCCTCCAGAGGAACAGTTCCCATGAAAGCTGTGTTCTCCATGGGGGACTGTGTGCTGTGGAATAGTAGCACTGTCCTGACAGTGTGGTCATCAGCGGTCTGCCATAGCAGGCTGAGAGACCAGCCACACCACGCTCATGTCCTGAGGGAGCTCCCAGCTGGGCATACCTCATGTTCCTGCACTGGGACAGTAGATCCTGTGAGACAAGGCTCTGCCCTACAAATGAGTTTCTAGAATCCCTGTTTGTAGGCTTGCACTATAAGGATCAGGAGTATTATTAAGTGTTTTAAGGCCTTATTTCTTATACTACTGTACAGAGAATTGTTTAAACCATTTTTTTTAAAAAGAAAGCATCTCTTTTTATGTATTTCTTGTTTGGCCTTTTCTTTTTTTACAGTAATAAAGGGAAGGAAAATAGCTTATGCATTGTTTTTTTCCCTTGTCTGTGGCTAGGTCTTCTTGTCAAAAAGATGCTGTTGGAAGCCTCTACGAAGCCAGAAATGAGTACTGTTATCAACAATACCAGAGGAATAATTTTTTATAGTGTCCCTCATCATGGATCACGTTTGGCTGAATACTCTGTTAATATTCGCTATCTTCTCTTCCCCTCGTTGGAAGTCAAAGAACTCAGCAAGGGTAATACTTTTTGTCATAAAGGAAATTGGGGTTATATTAACATCAGTTACACAGAGAAGAAGAAAAAGTTTCTTCCTTGAATGTATTATCTCATTTTATAATTTGTATATAATTGTGTTTAGACTATTCATGGAAATTTTGGGTTGGGCTTGATTTTTCTTTGATAATTTCTCATTTTGTTCTTAAGCCATTATTTACTCAAGCATTGTAATAATTTTAATATTATCTTAAATACTTAAAATTAGAAAAATAATCAGATAATGTTTTGCTTTTAAGTATTATTCCAAATTACCAATAAATGGCTTTTTTCCCCCATGAGTGGAGAATCATCAACTGTTAAAATGTAAATGAAACTTTGAGATTGTTAGTATTAATTTTAAAGTACTCTGGTTTGATAAGCAGTTTTCTCTCTGGAACACCTGTTAATCGGAATTTGGATTCCCTGGCTCGAGCCTAAATATACCAGGTGTCTTTTTGCTCCTATTTTCTCTTTGTTCTACTTTATGGAGAATCTCTTGATTTCTTCTAAACCTTCTGTTGGACTTTCCTTTCGTGGAGTCAGATTGTGTTTTCCGTACGTGCCTTCTTTCCTGTGCCCTGGTGGTTCTGCACTCATGTCCTCTTCTTGTTTTGTGGCTCCTTTATCTTTTCAAATAATTCTAAAGATCCTAAGTAGAAGGTTTGTGAGTTCCCTTCTACTCCTCATCTAGCTGTTTTTTTTCTGTGGCCAGCTTTTCTGTTTGCTTATCTGATCCATCTCTTTTAGGTCATAGGCCTATCTGGTGCCTCTTGGTTGCTCTTTCATATGTGAGGGTGAGGGATGGGAAGGGACAGGCATTCTGTGATTGTAGACAGGCTTTGTTGGTGGGAGGCTGGGCTTTGGGGTGGGTGTTGTGGTGCCATCATCACACTGGAGGACCCCTGTGGTCCCACACACCAGACTGCCCTGGGAACTGCTTCCTGCCCCCAGTAATGTGATAAACCCTCTCCTGCTGCTGACTGTCCTGTCGATTCTTGGTTTTAGCTTTTTCCTTGAATCTTAGTGGCTTCTTGGCAGGGGAGAAAATAAACATGTGTACTCAAGCCACCGTCTTGAATCAGAATTCTAATTTCCTCTCTAAATTTGAAAGATTAATGCATTTTATTATGAATTGGGTAAACAACTTGTCACAGTCTTGTTCTGTATAATTTTACAGATTCTCCTGCACTTAAAACACTACAAGATGACTTTCTGGAGTTTGCTAAAGACAAAAACTTCCAGGTGCTGAATTTTGTGGAAACACTACCAACCTACATTGGCAGCATGATTAAGCTCCATGTGGTACCTGTGGAATCAGCAGGTATTCACTCTTTTGAAACTTGTTGGCTGTTAGATGCTTAATTATACCTAGCATTTACTTGTAAACAGCAATTTTTATATCCAGGTTCTCAGTTTTAAGAGATAGTTTATGAAGGTCTAGATTTGATTTCTTTTATTCTTTTCAGCAATAGATTAAAATTTCTCTGTAAACATATAACCCGGGTATTACCTCTCCCTGCCCTTTATGTAACTGATTAGATGAGAAGGGTTAATTGGCTAACTCTAAGTTAGGCATCAACAGTGAACTCTTTTGCAGTAAAGAAAGCTCTTCTATCAGCTAGATCAAAAGGGGCATTTATTTAATAGACTTAGACTTATATTTACATGCAGAACCCTTAAGAAAATCATCTAAAAGTGTGGAAGCTTTCGTAAATAGAAGATCCATGGGGAATAGTAAAGCTCCAGAAATATTCCAGTGGGAAAAACTAGTGTTGAACTACAATCTCTTCATGATCCTGGGGTTGAGGGAAATGGCCAGTGCTTGCTCTCTAGTGTCATATAATGTATTATAGATTCTTTGAGGGAGGAGCCCAGATCTTAATTAACTCTCTTCATAGACTCCTCTGTTACTCTGTACATACTAGATACCCTGTACATTTCACCACCTGAACTGCTTTTGCCTCACCTGGCCATGTCTTCAGCTTGCCTGTTATCTCTGGGAACCCCTTTCTTACTGCCTCTGAGGCTGGCTTAGGTGCTGTTCTGGTGGTAGCCAGCCACATTGTGGGTCCTTCAGGCTAGGGACAGCATGCATCTGGAGTGCTTGCCAGATGGTTCTTTTGTCTACATAATGAGTTTTGTCCTAATTTCATTATATGCTATCTACATAAAATGAAAAATGTCATACTGTGTAGTAGAACTGAAAAATTTTACCTTAAAGTAATATGCTGTAGGTTGAGGAGTTACTATTTAGTAGTTGAAGAACTTGAAGAGTTCCAAAGAACAGCTGCCAGATGTTTTTAAAAAGGACTTTGGAAGCTTGAAGCAACAGCATAGTTTTTTGTTTTTGTTTTTAAGAGACAGGGTCTCACTTTGTCATCCAGGCTGGAGTTCAGTGGTATAATCATAGCTCATTGCAGCCTCGAACTCCTGGGCTCAAGCGTTCCTCCCACTTCAGCCTCCTGAGTAGCTGGGACCACAGGCGCACACCACCACACCTGTCTAAATTTTTAAATTTTTTGTATAAATGGGGTCTTGCTGTGTTGCCCAGGCTGGTCTCAAATTCCTGGCCTCAAGCAGTCCTCCTGCGTTGGCCTCCCAAAGTGCTGGGATTACTGGTGTGAGCCACTGTGCCTCGCCCAAAAGCAAAGTTAATATCATGGACCAGCTGCTTGGAGTGGCATAGCCTTGCCCTAATTCTGTCACCAAGAGGCTTTTCTTCCTTCATAACCACCACCTGCATTCCTCACCTAGGTGGCCTCACTAGTACCTCTTATCACTTCCGTGCGAGGGGACTTTGTTAGACCGAAATATCTCAAGCACTAAATCATTTTTACCCTGAAAGTGATTATTGGGATTTAGGTATAGAATGGATCCCATGTGAGACATTCCCATTCATTTCACCAGGAGAAAGGAAGTTTATAATAGAAACTCTGAAGTAACTTAGCAATAACCTGCAGGTGTAAGAAGGTTTTGAATATGTTAGTGCTCAATCTCTGCTTGCTCTGAAATAAGGAAGTAGGCCAGAACACATACGAAAAGTTCATGGAAAGCATAAAACTATGGTTCTACTGACTGAGAATCCCTTCCTGCATGTTTCATCAAATGTAGTTTAGCTGCAATCAAACTTCAGGTTCCTTTATCTTTTAAGAGTCCCTTGTCACAACCAAAGCAATGTCTAGAACTACCCATTCGGCCTCTTTCAGTATTGTCAAGGGGAAAGCTTATATTTTTACTTAGGTTTATTGACTTTTTTATTTTCTTCAGATTTAGGCATTGGAGATCTAATTCCTGTGGATGTTAACCATTTGAACATTTGTAAGCCAAAGAAAAAGGATGCTTTTTTGTACCAGCGTACTTTACAATTCATTCGTGAAGCTTTAGCCAAAGACCTTGAAAACTAACAGTTGTGCTCTTCCAGTTTTCATATGTGAATTCAGTGCAAGAAACTTGGTGTTCTGTTTCTTCTTTTAAGCTCTATGCAATCATGCAAACATAGTGATCATAGCGTCAACATGGTCTGGAGTGTGTTGCAGACTACAGAACATTGTTCTCCCTTCAAGCGCTGTAAAGCACCAACCCGGAAGTGGCAGGCACAGAAGGAAGGGCTGGATTGGGCCCCTTTGGTGTAAAGAAGTCCCTGTGTGCTGCTTTATGGTTCGCAGTGTTGGGCTTGGTGACTGGAGCAAAGCTGCTGTGAGAGAGTGTCCTTTCCCATCTGTGACTTTCCTGGTGCATCCAGGAGGGGCACGGCAGGTTCTGAGGTAACTCAACTTACCATAAAAATGCCATTAAGAGAGTACCTAAAATGGAGAGAAGAATGAACTAGAACATTCAAGACTCTTTTACTTCTGGGTATTGATTTGCTGTACATTTTTAAAGTTTGAGTTTTTAGCTCAGTTCTACCTTTTATCTGACACATTATTACTAGTGTTAACTTTGTTAGACTTATTGTCATGTCTGGGTCAGTTCCTTGTATCTATTTTCGTATTCCTGAGAACAAATCTTTTTCTTAGAAAAATTCTAGCTTATAATAATTCTTTTCAGACTGTAGCTGCCTATGCTTGGAATTTGTCCTAGATAAGGATAAAGTAGCTAATCCATTATTGATCACAGTATGAAGTAAAACTATTCTAAGCCATTATATGAATTAGCAATTCTTAGTATCAAGATTCTCAGATTCTCTTTGGCTAAATAAACCTTTCTTCTTCCTTGCTCATTTGCAAGTGGTATTAATTGACCTCTATAGCATGTGAGTAGTAGATAATCATGTCGATGACCTTTTTTTCTTTAGAGTAACAGCATTATTGAGATATAATTTACATACCATAAGATTCACCCTTTTAAATTATACAATTCATTTTTGTTTTGTTTTGTTTGTTTAGAGACAGGGTCTGACTCTGTTGCCCAAGCTGGAGTGCAGTGGCATGATCATAGCTCATTGTAACCTCAAACTCCTGGGCTCAAGAGATCCTTTTGCTTCAGCCTCCCAAGCAGCTAGGACTACAGGCACATGCCACCACACTTGGGTAATTAAAAAATAAATAAATACTTTTTTGTAGAGACAGGGTCTCACTGTGTTGCCCAGGTCTCAAACTCCCGATCTCAAGCCACCCTCCCAAAATGCTGTGATTATAGGCCAGAGCCATTGTTCCCAGGCTCAATTCATTGGTTTTTAGTATAGTTCACTGAGTTGTGCAACATCATTGCTATTTAATTTCAGGCTATTTCATCATCCCCAAAAGAACCCCATACCCATGAGCAGTCAGTTCCCACCTCTGCTTTCCCAAGCCTGCGGTAAACACTAATCTGTTTTCTGTCTCTATGGATTTGGGAATTTTATGTAAATGGAATCATACAATATGTGGCCCTCTCTGCCTTCTTCCTTCTATTAGCATGTTTTCAAGGTTCATTCATGATATAGCATGTATCAGTACTACTTCATTTCTTTTTATGGCCGAAATTACTCCATTGTATGATATGCCATGTTTCTTTATCCATTCATCAGCTGATGGACATCTAGGTTCTGTTCATTTTTGTCTATGATAAATAATGCTACCATGATCATTTGTGTACAAATTTATGTGTGGATAGATGTTTTTGATTCTCTTGGGTGGAATTGCTGGTCAAATGGTAAGTCTATGTTTAAATTTTGAAGATGGTGAACTTTTGTAGAATGAGATAGTCGAAGCTAAAACTGGAGTATGGCATCTGAAGGTAAATGGCTCATCAATAAACTCGATATCAACAATTAATTGTTTCATTGTACAACAACCTAGCAAAACCCACTTATTTATTGCTGTAGTAGACATAGCAAATATGACAGTTGCTAACAACGAATGTACTACCCAATGTGATAACATGGGGAGAAGGGGTAGATATGTTTAGTACATTTTTTCTCTTTTTTTTTTTTTTTGTTTTTGAGATAGAGTCTCGCTCTGTCACCAGGCTGGAGTGCAGTGGCACGATCTCGGCTCACTGCAACCTCCACCTCCCCAGGTTCAAGCGATTCTCCTGCCTCAGCCTCCTGAGTAGCTGGGAATACAGCCACGCGCCACCATGCCCAGCTAATTTTTGTATTTTTAGTAGAAACGGGGTTTCACCATGTTGGCCAGGACGGTCTCGATCTCTGGACCTTGTGATCTGCCCGCCTCGGCCTCCCATAGTGCTGGGATTACAGGCGTGAGCCACCACACCTGGCCCTGTTTAGTAAATTTTCTTGTTCTGCTTTCTGTGAACCATGGCAGATAAACCACAGTTGAAACAACTGTTCATTAATTCAGAGTATGGAATGGAAACCCTGTTTCTTAAATTTTTAATAGAATACAGCCGTGCTTTAAAAATAAGATGTGGAAGAGATATCCAATGTATTCTTAACTAAATTAGAATAGTCTGGATAAAATTTATTATACACAAGCAAGATTAAAAGAAATGGTATAGCACATAAGCAACACAGTAAAGCAAAATAAACAAGTACAGATGGTCCCCAGCTTAACGATGGTTCAACTCACAATTTTTTGAGTTCACAATGGGTTTATCAGATTGTTAAATGCATTTTTGACTTACAATGGGTTTATGCGGTTGCAGCCCCATCGTAAATCAAGGAGCATCTGTATAAAATGATGGCTGAAGGTGCAATTCTAAAAGAAAATATAATCCCTGAACAACAAAAAAGTGATGAAGGAAAAGGTGGAAAGCACTTGAAAATCAAATCAGCACAATTACAGAAGTAGAAACAGCACATTAAAGAATAGAAATGGGGCTGGGTGTGGTGGCTCACGCCTGTAATCCCAGCACTTTGGGAGGCGAAGGTGGGTGGATCACAAGGTCAGGAGATCGAGACCATCCTGACCAACGTGTTGAAACTCCGTCTCTACTAAAATACAAAAAAAAAAAAAAAAAAAAAAATTAGGTGTGGTGGCACGCACCTGTAATCCCAGCTACTCAGGAGGCTGAGGCAGGGGAATTGCTTGACTCCAGGAGGCGGAGGTTGCAGTGAGCTGAGATCTCGCCACTGCACTCCAGCCTGGGCGACAGAGCAAGACTTCGTCTCAAAAAAAAAAAAAGAAATGGATGAAAATTCTATCAATAGAGAGGTGGCTGGATGGATATGGAACCACAATAGATGCAGAAGCAAAATAAAATAATTAGAAGATAATAGATAAGCTGTTCAATTGTAAAGGCAATAGACAGACAGGCATTGTCAACATCACCTCAAGGAATAGGGACCTATGTGCCTTTCCTGACAAATTTGCTTGTTAATTCAATCCAGACATTTAAAAAAAAGGGAATAAAAATAGCACACTTTAAAATGCAAACAAAAACCCTAAAAACAAAAACACTTATGTTAGAAAACAATAATGTTGGAGAGAAAGAATTGTGTGCTCAGCTAAGTTGCCCTTGAAATGGGTACAAAGGTAATGGACCAGCATGCTCAAGCCTGCAAGAATTGGGGAATACTGTGCAGTTCTAGTTTTACCTTCTTAGCCTAAGGTAAGTTTATTAGATAATGACATATAGTATGCCATCATACTATATGTCATTAATATTAAACATAATTTACAAACCATATGACATATAGCATACTATCTAAATATTAAACATTAAAAATATATGTATTCTAGAATATATATTTAATAACCTATATTTAATAAACATGTTTTATATATTCTAGAAATCTATGTGTATATGTATAGTAAAATGCCAGACACTATAATACACATAGAAAGATTTCTAAAGTAATGTTTATGATTACTTCTGGGTAGATTTTGGGTTAACTTTTCATATTTTAATGCTTAATTTTATGAGTATTTGTTACTTTTTTCTTTTCTTTTCTTTTTTTTTTTTTTTTTTTGAGACAGAGTCTCACTCTTGCCCAAGCTGGAGTGCAATGGCGCGATCTCGGCTTGCTGCAACCTCCGCCTCCTGGGTACAAGCGATTCTCCTGCTTCAGCCTCCCAAGTAGCTGGGATTAAAGGCACCTACCACCCACACCCGGCTAATTTTTGTATTTTTAGTAGAGATGGGAGTTTCACTGTGTTGGCCAGGCTGGTCTCAAATTCCTGACCTCAAGTGATCCACCCACCTCCGTTTCCAAAAGTGCTGGGATTACAGGCGTGAGCCACTGCACCCAGCTGAGTATTTGTTACTTTGATACACAATTTATTTTAAAAAGAAAGCTCTGTAAAAGTCAAAATCCAAATCATAGCCACTGTGCTCACTGGTCAAGTTATTGCAACATAAGATGGAATATTAGTGAAAAAGGAATCTTAAAAAATAATAACAGGCTTCTGCTTTCAGTAATAGCAGGATAGATCATTTGGATCTAATCTCCCAGTGAGGACAATTAAAGAATCTAGACGAAATGTTTTTAATTGATCAAAGAGCTACAAAGAAAATAATAATGATTTATTGGCAAAAATAAATTATTATTATTATTATGAGACAGAGTCTTGCTCTGTCGCCCAGGCTGGAGTGTGCAATCTCGGCTCACTGCAACCTCCGTCTTCCGGGTTCAAGCAATTCTCCTGCCTCAGCCTCCCAAGTAGCTGGGATGACAGGCATGTGTTACCATGCCCAGCTGATTTTTGTATTTTTAGTAGAGGCAGGTTTTCACCATATTGGTCAGGCTGGTCTCGAACTCCTGACCTCAGGTGATCCCACCACATCGGCCTCCCAAAGTGCTGGGATTATAGGCGTGAGCCACCATACCTGGCCCACTATTTTATCTATAGAAATAGCATCCAGGAGGCCGGGCGTGGTGGCTCATTCCACAGACTGAAGAAGTTAATCCAAAGCAGAGCATATAAAAATAAATCTGCATCTATACAGAGAATAGGGACACTGCAGAAAAGCCAAGACAAGAGGAAGATCTTAAAAGTAGTTAGAGAAAAATGTGTAAAGAACAACAGTTAAAATTGCTGCTGTTGAGAAGTCCTAAGTCAATGGAAGCCAGAAGACACTGGAATGATATTGTCAATGTGCTAAAAGAAAACCACTTGCAATCTAGAATTATACATCCAGTACAAATCATAAACACTTAAAATATTAAGATGAAATGGACATTTTATATAAAGAAAAAGAGTTTACTGCCAGCAGACCTTCATTAATGGAAGGCAGAAGGCAAGTGATCCAGCCAGAGGCACTGGAATTCAAGAAAGAATGTGGAGTGAAAAAAGAGGTAACTACTAGGATAAATTAAATAAAAATTTTATAAAACATAATATATCAAGTGGGTGTTAAAATATGTAAAATTAAAATACACAGCAACTATAGCATATAAGTTGGGGGTGGGTAAATGGAGTTAAGTGCTCCAAGGTTGTTGTGTTATTTAGGAGGAAGGTAAAACAATGATTATCACTAGACTTTGAGAATTTAATGATACGTATTTTGTTTCTAAGATAACCAATAATAGACAAAAAATAGTGTATATAATGAATTCCAAACTAGGAGAGAAGAAAAAGGGGAATAAAAAAAAAAAATCTTAAGGCACAAACAGAGGGGAAAAGAAATAAGGAACAGATGGTACTAAGAGAAAGCACAAAATGGCATGGCAAGTGAAAACCCAAATATAGTAATAATTGCATTAAATGTAAATGAGCTAAATGCCCCAGTTAAAAGATAGTGTGTCAGACTGGATAAGAAATAACACCCTACTATATGTGTTTATAAGAGACCCACCTGACACAATCAAGTGAAAAAAGAGGCACAAGTTGCCAATGTTAGGAAGGAAGAGGAAATATCACTACAATGCACACATTACAAGATAAGAGGATATTAATAGATACTTTCAGGCCAATACTACTCAATTTTTAATAGAAAACTCCAAGGAAAATACAGCTTACCCAAGTTGCCTATGAAATAGAAAACTTTTATAGTCCTATTCCTATAAAAGGAATAGAATAAGTGGTTTTAAAATCTCACAAACTATAGGCCCAAGTGAATTCAATGTACTGTTCCTTACTGGTCAGGAAGGACTAGCCATATTTATGACTTCGAGATTATCAGTATATTCTTACTGCTGAAAATCATCAGAGAACATTTATGACCTATATTTCATGTATTAAAATTAGCTTAGAACAAACCTAGACAGAACTTGACTGGTGAGTGCTACCGAAAGTTTAAGGAGGAAATAGTTCCAATGTTATCAAGTTTTCCCAGTTAATAGAAAAAGAGTGTAGTCCCCAGCTCATTTTATGAGGTTAACAAAACTCTGATACCAAAACCATTCAAGGACAGTATAAAAAAGGGACAGTTACAAGCCGTTCTCATGGATGTAGCTGCAAAAATCCCAAGCAAAAATATTGACAAATTAAAGCCAGCAATATTTAAGGGGGTAAAATAATCTCCCCAAGTTGGAGTTACGCAATGAATGAATGCAAGGTTTGCTTAGCACTGAAAAATTGATCAATGTAATTCCCCAAATTAAACAAAAGGAAAAATCATAATCATTGCAATACACACAAAATATCTGATAAAATTCAACCACTATTCATGCAAAAGATAAACTTAGCAAGCCAGGAAGAGAATTTTGTCAATAAAGGATATTAAAAGAAAAAAACAACAACAGTAAACATCATACTTAGTGGTAAAAATATTAACATCTTCCCTCTGAGAACAGGAATAACACAAGAATGCCTACCAGCAGCATTTTAAACATCGTCCTAAATGTCCTAGCCAACTCTGTAAGGCAAGAAAAAGACACAAAGATACAAGGATGAGAAAGGAATAAACAAAATTCATTGTTTGCTAATATGATTATTTACATAGAAAATCCAAAAAAACCACAGATACCATGTTTTATCAATTCCAAGACACATTTCACAATATTTGAACATCTCTGTAATTGGGCTGCATCTCACAATAGCTACTGAGTCTTAGTTGGAAGCCGTCTTAAGAATGATGGTACATAAATGGTGTGTCTGATAATTGATGGTATACTAGGTGTATCAAAATACAGTAAATTGTTAGAATTTTGAGAGTTTGGCAAGGTTGCTGATGCATTCAATATAAAAAGTCTGTAAGTATACTAGTAAAAAATAGCAAATGAATTTTAAAATAAGTATTGTCTGTTAGATATAATAATGACATTAAGGTTATGAAAGAAAATGTTGGAGATACACGTTGAAAGTACCGAGGAATCAAGTATGATAGCAGAATTGCTTTGAAATATTTCAGCAAAGGAAAAATATATAAAGCAAATATAGCAAAGGGTTATTACTGTTAAATCCCAGGTGACAGATATGCGAGGGTCCAGGCTATTCCCTCTGATTTAATGTATGTCTGAAACTTTTTACAAGTTAAAAACTAAGAAACATCAAGGAAAACCTTAAATGAAGAGATGTGATGGGTTCTTGGACTGAAGACTCAATACCGTAAAGCTGTCTATTCTATTCCATGCAATCCCAAAAATTGCAACAGGTTTTTAAAAAATGAAACTTCAATTGATTTTAAAATTGATCTAAAAATACAAAGACTCAAAAATAGCCAAGATACTCTTAAAGAAAAAGAATATGGTGAGAGTGCTTATCAGATAACAAAGTTAAATGAAATAAGGCAACGTTGTATTGGCACACGGATAGACAAGCAGGCCAATGCTACAGAACACGGAGAGCCCAGAAGGTCTACATTCTGGAACAGCTGTATGAGCTGCTCAGGGAAACCTCTCCCACAGAAAGACATCTATTAAACTGGTCAAAATTAGCAAAAGCCATCATTCAATGTCTCTAGAGATTGACCAAAAGGCTGACAACAAATCGTGAAACATTTATTCAGCAAGATCTAAGGAATCTTGGTAGGAGCAAGGCGAAGGCATCACTTTGGAACTAGAACTAGAGCCTTCACCATCCCCCACAGATCTGCCTTGCACAAAGACCTGTTCCAGCAGGTAGAGTGTAATTGACAGCAAATCAATTTCTCTCTCTCTCTCTCTCACACACACACACACAATTTTGTACCCTATGACTAAAAAAAAAAAATTATATTGATGAAACCACTTTGCAAATCAATCCTCCACATGGCCACATCGAACGTTAACACATTTTTAAAAGTAGATGGTTTTCTAGGTCATAGTCTCAGGTCACAGGCCAATAAAATTAGGGCTAAGTAATTTAAAATGCCAAAAAAAAAAAAAACAAAAAACCCAAAATCAAAAATAAAAACAAAAAACCCTTAACTATTTGGAAATTATACAGTCTCCTAAATAACCAATGGATCAAAGAGAACGCAACGACAAATTACAATCTAGCAATTAATGACAAGGAGGAAATTTCATTCCAAAATGTATAGGGTGCAGTTAAAGCTAAAATCAAGGGAAAATGTATAACTTTAATTAAATATCTTTATTATTAACTATGAAAGACCAAAAATGAAAACCCAGTTCTACTATTAAGATTAGGAAAAGAACAAAAGTAAAAGTACAAAACAGATCCAAGTTAAAGTTAAAAATTAATGAAAGATGTTTAAAAATACAAAGAAAAAATATATTTTTAGACAGTCTCACTCTGTCACCCAGGATGGAGTGCAGTGGCACAATCTTGGCTCACTGCAGCCTCCACCTCCTGGGTTCAAGCGATTCTTGTACCTCAGCCTCCCAAGTAGCTGGGATTACAGGCATGCACCACCATGCCTGGCTAATTTTTGTATTTGTAGTAGAGAATGGTTTTTCCCATATTTGGCCAGGCTGATCTTGAACTCCTGACCTCAAGTGATCTGCCTGCCTCGGCCTCCCAAAGTACTAAGATTACAGGTCTGAACCACTGCACTGTAGTCCCAGCACTTTGGGAGGCCAAGGGGGGAGGATTGCTCGAGGCCAGGAGTTCGAGACCAGCCTGGGCAACATGGTGAAACCCTGTCTCTACAAAAAATACAAAAAACTAGCCAGGCATGGTGGCAAGCCCCTATAGTTTCAGCTACTTGGGACCTGAGGTGGGAGTATTGCTTGAGCCCAGGAGGTCAAGGCTACAGTGAGCTATGATCATGCCACTGCACTCCAGCCTGGGTGACAGAGTGAGATCCTGTCTCTAAAAAGAAAAGAAAACAATAGAAAGGATATATAAATCCCAAAGGTGTTCTTTGAAAATGTCAATAAAATTGAATAACCCCTTGAGAAACCTAATTCGGGAAGCAAGAGCAATGGTTTATTACTTAACAAATGGTCATTGTATAGGCGTCCCTCAGGAAGAAGCTGTTGGGTCCACTTCATACCATTTCTAAACTATATTCCAGATGCTTTGAAGAGCTGCTATTATCCCAGGCAAAGCCTATAACCTTAACCATTCTACCACACAGATTTATTCAGATATTTCTACAAACAACTTCTTCTGTTATACACAGAATAAAATCCTAAACTATAGGTCCTCTGAAATTATCTTTACCATTGACTAACATCCTTTCTATTAATCGACTCTGTTACTTTTCAAATTCTTAATCCTCTTTCTGCTCTGCAAAAAGACAATGTCAAGAGAATCAAAAGACAAGCCACAGACTCAGAGAAAATACTTACAAAAGATGTATCTGATAAAGGACTGTTATCCAAAATGTATGAAGAACGCTTAAAACTCAACAGTAAGAAAATGAACTTTATCCATTTAAAAACTGGGCCAAATATATGAACAGATACCTCACCAAAGAAGACACACAGATGGCAAACATACGAGATGTTCAATATCATGTCATTAGGAAATTGCAAATTAAGACATCACAACATACCTGTTAGAATGGCCAAAATCCCAAAATGCTGTCAGCACCGGATGCTGGTGAGGATGTGGAGCAACAGGAACTCTCATTCACTGCTGGGGGGAATGCAAAATGGTACTGCCACTTTGGAAGACAGTTTGGCAGTTTCTTACAGACATACTCTTACCATATGATCCAGCAATTACACTCCTTCCTATTTACCCAAATGAATTGAAAACTTATGTCCACACAAAAACATGCACACAGATGTTGATAGCAGCTTTATTCATAATTGCCAAAACTTGAAGGCAACTAAGGTGTCTTTCAGTAGGAGAATGGATAAACTGGTACGTCCAGACAATGGATTATATTCAGCACTGAAAAAAAAGAGCTATCCACTCATGAAAAGACTACATACTGTGTGATTCCAACTCTATGACATTCAGGAAAGGGAAAAACCATGGAGACAGTAAAAGGTAAGTGGTTGCCAGGGATTGAGA